>NC_000010.11:19252424-19403939 GCF_000001405.40 Homo sapiens
ACTCATTTTTCTTTTTTTAATCAAAAGTTCTCAGCAAGCTATAAGCCAGACATTAGCTAAGAAGAAATACAATATAATGCCAAAAGATCAACATAAATTTTGTTATGATTTTGTTTCCCAAAATAAGAAAACAGATTTGGTAGACATCATATTTTTTTGTCAGTAATCATCTTATAGTTCTTGACTACTTATATATCCCAGCATTTTATTTTGTCTCTACTATTACCACAATGTTATTATTATCCATTCC
Source organism: Homo sapiens (assembly GCF_000001405.40). Classification (NCBI taxonomy): domain Eukaryota; kingdom Metazoa; phylum Chordata; class Mammalia; order Primates; family Hominidae; genus Homo; species Homo sapiens. Next base: position 19,252,675 of record NC_000010.11, read on the forward strand.
TTTGCCCAGTTTCTCACACAGTTTTAATATGGCACTTATGACCCTTGTTTCATGATAAATGGTTTTCATATGTCTACTATAGTAATTGAAAAACTCCAATTATTCTGCAGCTTTGTGTATGTGATAGAGTCAGCCACAGAGTTAGAATCATAAAATTTGTCAGGCCAAATCTGAGTTTTATTTCATAGAGATTGGTTTCAGGGTTGTGTAAACAATTGCAAAGATGATTTAAAAACCCTTTTATATTGTATCCAGCAAATAGTTCCCTCAGTATTGGCCTAAAAAGTTTGGAATTCTAAGCTGATTTTCTAAAAGCTCCCAAGAATTGTAGGTTATGTGGTTAAATATTAGATCGTTGTCTGAATGCGTTTATAAGAATTTACTTAACACCTTAGGTGTTAAAATGGGCTAAAAGAGAGCTTCATGTAATGCCTTTCATTCTGTTTGTGCATTTTTGATTATTGGAAAATCCAATGAAAAATAAGTGGGTGTCATTAAGAAGTATAAGAGAGAGCGTAAGTATTTGTCCTCTAGGAAATTATAAGTGGATAGCAACAGAAAATTGTTCATAGCTGAATTGAAGAATAGATTGAGATTCTTGAGATTACTATATGCTGGTTATAAAATGCCACACATTAAATTAGCAATTGAGAAAAAGACATGAAAGTAATAGACACATTGATGACTTATGGCAATAAGTATAGAATAAATGCTTTGTATTTGTTTATTGAGGTATAATTTATATGTCGATTTTATCCTGTTTAGGTGAGCAGTTCTATGAATTTCAACAAATGTACAGTTGTCTTTTGGGATTCAGAGGATCAGCTCCAGGACTGCCCCCATGTAACTAAATCAGCACATACTCAAGTCCTGCACTGGAAACAAAGTGTTGGCCCTCTGTATACACATCTTTCACAGCCACAAGTATTTTTTATTGTGTTTTATTTAAAATAAGCCACACATAAGTGGACCAAGGCAGTTCAAACTCATGTTGTTTAAGAGCCAACTGTATACAGTTGTGTAAGCAACCACTACAACCAAAATAGAGTATATCCCCACCATTCCCCCAAATCTTCCATTTCCTGATATAGTCAATCTCCTCCTTTTACACCCCCAGCTCCTGTCAACACAAATCTGATTTCTTTCCCAATTGATATGGTTTGGCTCTGTGTCCTCACCCACATCTCACCTTGAATTGTAATACTCACCATGGGTCAAGGGTGGGACCAGGTGGATATATGGGGGTGGTTTCCCCCATACTGTTCTCACAAAATCTGATGGTTTTATAAGGGGTTTCACCCTTTGCTCGTGTCTCATTCTCTCTCCTGTCACCATGTGAAGAAGGACATGTTATCTTCTCCTTCTGCCACAATTGTAAGTTTCTTGAGGCCTCCCCAGCCCTACGGAACTGTGAGTCAATTAAGCCTCTTTTCTTTGCAAATTACCCAGTCTTAGGCAGTTCTTTATAGCAGCATGAGAGTATTCTAATACACCAAAAATTCTGACTTTTCTAAAATGGCATAAAAGGAGCTGATAAATGATACAGGCTTTTGAGTCTGGCTTCTTTCACTTTAATGCTTTTGAGGTTCACAGCTGTTGTTGCCTACATCATTGTTCCTTTTTGTTGCTGAGTGGTATTCTATTGTATGAATATACTGCAATTTGCTTATCTGCTTACCAGTTGGGAGATATTTGGGTTGATTTGAGCTTTTGGAGATTATTAACAAAGCCTGTATAAACCTTGTTAATGGATTCTTGTTTAGACACATCTTCATTTGTCTTGAATAAACAAATACCTACATGTGCATTGCCATGTCATATAAAAGTGTATGTTTAATTTTATAAGAACCTGCCAAATTAGTTGTATTAATATGGCTGTGCCATTTAGGATTCTCATCAGGAATGCATTGGAGTCCCAGTTGCTCCACATAGAATATGTGCTTTTTATAAATTTTAAACTAAAATTTCTGCCTCAGATATAATGTATCTTCATATAAAATACATTATATTTGAGACAGAAATTCTTATTTAAAGTTTATAAATTTATAATATATCTGAAAATACATTATAGTTATAAAACATACCAATTTTTAATATAATGTATCTGAGGATACATTATATTAAAAACTGATATGTTATATTGGAATTGTGTAATATTTTACAAATACATGATGGCTAAAGTGAAAGTAAGCAGCAGGTTGAATTAATTCCATTTCTCTTATGAGTTAACTGAGGCTAAAACATGTGTTTGTATGTGAGGACAATCGTTTTTATATCATTTAAAATTTTGGTCAGTCATTCAGTTTCCTAAATACATAGAAGGATGAGTTCAGGAAAGTTGCTAGAGCCCCATTAATGTTTAAGCCTCAAAGTTCCAACGTGGTTACCAAGGCCAGTCTGTCTTTACGTGGAGCAGGTGGCAGCCCATGCAAAGAACAGCTTGGATGAGCTGGTTTACTTCATAACATTTCCAAGACGATGATAGTTCTAATATAAGTAGAATTGACCTGTACAGATAAGGCAGGTCATTTAAACTAAACTGGATTTTCAGTTGCCCTTTGAGGCACTCCGTAAGGTAGCAATGGGACTTAGGAGTAAAATTCGACTTCCCTAATTTCCGGAATCAATACTGTCTTATATACAATGTATAATGCTTGTGTTTTGATAATCTTCTATTCGTTCTCGGGGAAAAACACCATAAATGAAAGTGACATTTTCATAATAGAGGCATTTGGGTTTATTCTTTTTGTGGTCATTTTCTCAGGACTACTATTTTAGAATAATTTACCAAGCTTTTTTGCAAGACTAAAATATAGGGTTAAAGTAGGGTTAAACCTTAACAGTCATAACTTTGTTGCTGAAGTGTGATTATTATCAAAAAGTCTTTTAAAAATGCTTTTCTTAAATATTCAAAAGAGATTGAGACTATCATACAAATGGACAATTTTAGTTTCTCAAATTGTAATTATTGTTCATTAATTCTCAAGAATGCTAACATTTAGAGGTTAGCAAATTGAAGATATTTTGGTAAAAATTATGATTAAATTATGTATTAGAGCAAACCCAACTGTCTTCTGTCTTGGATTGTTTCTGTCTTTCCGTTGGCCTTGAATGCAGATAGAAACAATATTAAAATACTTCTCATGCAACATGAAGGAAACTCCAAAGGAAAAATGCCTTGAGCAAATCACATTCTCTAACCTGTTATGGCCCTCTCTGGGTTACAGAATTTTGTCTTAAATTTTCATAAATAGCCAATTCTTTAATTTGTGACTATATAAAGACAATAAAAAGTCTTGGAACAATTGACTCCAAACACCAGAATGGAGCTATGAATGTGTATATATCCCTAAAGCTGGTTTCCAGCTACTTATATGTACAACAGCTTCACTCTCTATGAAGTGGGATGTTACTATCAATTTTCTATTCCTTCTCATTAATAAGATAATGATAATCATGAGGAGTGAGGCCAAGTCAATAGTATTTATTTTTATTTACCCTAGTTTCTTCTAAGCAATTTGTTAGCATGTTCTGTGTTTTATTGCAGTGGGATTTACATGTATGGGTACAGGACATTAACTGGTGATTAATTCATATTTGTGCCTTTTCCCCAACTGTTCACCCAACTCTATTTTTAAAAATAAAACAGAATACGTTTTTCTGTAGTATGTTCTTTCAAATTCTGTCTGCTAGTTTAGGTTTATTGAAAATAATTGTATGAGTTTGGACTAAACATTCTTTATACATTTTTGTTTTCTCTGCCTATAATGCCTTTCACTCATGATGGTGGTGGGAAAAAGGATGCATTTTTATGTTTGGAGAGACTCATTGTAAAACAGCGGGACACTTCCTGTATAACACCATTAAATGTTGTTCAAACAATGTCAGGGGGACTATATTTGCCCACTAGTTCTATGCAGAAACATTTCCCAAATTAATTAATTTTCTCAGTGACAAATCAGGGAGAAAATCCTGGTAGACCTCAAGAAAGGGTAGAAAGTTGGAGAAAAGTGTTAAGAGGTTTGAGGTCAGCAATTTGACCTTTTAAAACTTTCTTTCATAAGGAGAATGTCAACAAATAATGTTTGTGGTAATTTTCAATGAAGGCTAGAGCTTGAAAAGTAAAACTTCAACTCCCACATATAACATTTGTGAGGAAAATGAAATGAAAACATATGTTCATATAATAATGGGAAAACATAATGTATTTTTCTAAGTTTGAGTTTGCTAGAAGTTCTTTATTATTAAATTATGCTGGGATTCCTAGTAAGCATGCAAGACATTTGCATAAGTATTAAAATAATTCATCATGATCAATTCTGTTACAGTAAATCTCAACCCTAATCACAATCTACCATATACTACAGTGGTTCGTCTATATGTGGTATTTCATATTTTACTAAGTTCTGGTGGAACTGCCGCTCCTGCAGCAGCACAAATGTCATCTGAGTTCACTGTGATTAATGTGGCCCTGAAGGAGATCTAATCACGATTAGCCAATTTCATAAAGTGTTACAGAATCAGTGTCATGTGAGAAACATTTTAAAGCCCTTAAAACTGTATATCCTAGCAAGTAACTCTGGTAGAAAATCTAGGAGGATGAGGAGGTTTAATTTGGGAAACAGATGACCCAGGAGGATGAGGGAACAATTATTTGCCTTCAAATACTTAAAGGACCAGAAGGGAACAACACAAATCTAGAACTAATGGCTGAAAGTTATAGGGCAGTGGATATCAATCTAATATACTGAAATTTCAAAAATGGAAACTCATAAGAAATGCAATGAGTTCCATGGGTCTAATAGGCTCAATGTAGTATGGAGGTTTCTGTTACTAGAAGTATTCAAGGCAAGATGACCACTTCTGGAGACTACTGCAAAGCAGTTTTTTAATGGCACAGAAGGTTATATTTGGGTACATTTTAAATTCCTCTTCATCCATTCCATAACTTAATTTCCTTTACCACATAAACACATTTCTTATTTTTATTTTTTATTTTATTTTTTTAGATATTGGTGGAGGCTTCAGTGGGAGATGGCTTCACTGGAGATATTGCGATTGATGATCTGTCATTTATGGACTGCACCCTCTACCCTGGTAAGAGAGAACATTTCAATTTGGGGTTATTTCTAAATCTGTTTACTTGGAAAACTTGCAAGGAAATCAATATTTCATTTCTACAAAATTTCCAATATGACCTTGCTTTTATTCTTTTTCTCAAAACTATTAACTCTGGAAAAGATTTTTTTAGATCCTTGCTAGTAATTAGTTTTCAAGTGTCAAACATAGTCAAGATGTTTGAATCACTTATGTCTATGACTTATCACATGCAAAATACTAGAAAATCATGTCTGAAGTTAAAATGTAATTCCATTATATTTAAGGAGTTACAATAACCAAACCATTTGCCTTATAATTACATCGCATTGGATACTTTATTAACCTCTCGGATTACTCTCGGGAGGCACTTTAAATATTTCTAACAATTGTTGTCAACCATTTCCTCACTGTTTTATGGTTTTATGTCTATTAAAATGACATAAATGACATATTTTCCAGATATATATCAATTTTCAAACTTTCCCCTAACTCCAGACTCATATACTCACTACCTACTCAACAGCTTAACCTGGATGTCTAGAAGGCATCTTAAAGATAATGATAGAAAATAACCTAAAATAAACACAACCCAGGCCTTGAATAGTGTTATGAGGAGAAACCCATTCTGAGAAGTGCATAGTGATCTAAGAAGACTGGAGTTTGGCACTCAGACTGAGAGCTCTTAAAGTGCACGACAAGAGGGAACATGATCTCCTCCCTGGAGTGATCAGAGGCTGGGGCCCAACAACATTCTCAATTGCCGAAAACGTAACATTCATCCCTGCTCTATCATCTTAGCCTCACTGGTCTGCGGAGCACCAGCTCCATCCCATGCAGAGTCAGGTGATGGGGCTGATTCCAGTCTTTTCAGTTGTAGCTATGTGACACAGCTCTGATCCTACCCACCACTCAGCATCCTAACAGGATCGATTGGTGTTACCACTGTGTGTCATGGTTTTCATAGAACTCTGGAGACAGCTGAATCCCTCTCTCGAAGGCTAGTAAAACAAGAGGCAGAATTGAACAAATTTACCCTTACCTCTCAATGCCTAAAAGTGAATTCCTGATTACCAGTTGCCTCTCAATCCTGCCACTCCTGTATACCTCCCTATCTCAGCAAATGACAGTTTCTATCTAGCTGCTTATTCCATATTAACAAATCTGGTTTATATTAACAAATTTGATTTAGTACCCACCCTCATTGCCCTCACCACTTTCCCCATGGTCCAAGCAACCAGTGTCTATGCATGGATTATTGCAATTGCTTTTTAAATGATCTATCTGCTCCTACCCTTGAGAGCTATATTCTGAAAACAGCAGCCCACATGTTTCTTTTCAAACTTAGATAAGGTTAGGTCATTCTATTGTCAGAATCTTCCTATGACTTTCTATCTCATTCAGAGCAAACCTCAAACTAATGATAGCTTCCAAGGAATAAATGACTAACCCCTTATACCTCTTGAATTCACCTTTCACCAGTGTATATCTCATTCACTTTTCCCTACTACAAAGGCCTCTTAGCTAATACTTGAGCACTTCAGCCAATTTATGGTGTATTAGTCCATTCTCACACTGCTAATAAAGACATACCCGAGCCTGGGTAATTTATAAAGAAAGGTGATTTAACTGACTCACAGTTCTACATGGCTGTGAGGGCCTCACAATCATGGCAGAAGGTGAAGGAGGAGCAAAGTCAAGTCTTACAAGTTATAGGCAAAGAGAGTGTGTACAGGGTAACTCCCCTTTATAAAACTATCAAATCTTGTAAGACTTATTCACTTTCACAAGAACAGTGTAGGAAAGACCCGCCCCCGTGATTCAATTACCTCTCAATGGGTCCCTTCCATGACATTTGGGAATTATAGGAGCCATAATTCAAGATGAGATTTGGGTAGGGACACAGCCAAACCATGTCATATGGTTAGGGCTTTTCCATCTGCTTTCCCCTGTTCCTGGAACAGGTTTCCCACAGATGTCTATCTGACTCTCTCCCTTACTTCCTTCTGGTCTCTGCCAGAGTTTCTTCTTCAGGGAAGCCTCCTCTGAACACAACACAACACAGTTTCTTTCTTATCTGGCATTTTCTATTTCTATTCCTGGTGTTATTTTTCTCCACATCACCTATCACCCTTATGGTTAAATTTCTATTTTCCCCCATAATGATGTTAGTTGCATGAGAGCAGGTATATCACCTCTTCACTGTTTAATCTCCAATTCCTACAACAGTATTTGACACATACTAGTACTCAACAAATAGTTGTTGGATGGATAAGTAGGTAGAGGAATGTCAATAATTTTAGGTGTTTTATATACTCTCGTTATATATTTTAGTTTAGTTTTAGTATTATTGCTAAAATATTAAGTAATTCTATGTGCCAGATACTATAGTATATGTCAGTCAGCTTTTGTTGAAAGCCAAGTCTCAGTAGCTTATGACTACATTTATTTCTTGCTCTCAAGCGTGTAGGTTGGCATAGAGAATAAGAGCAAAGACATAGACAGACAGACAGATAGATAGACAGACAGATAGATCTTAATCATAGCTCTGTGTAATTTCATGTAGCTCTAAGCTATGTGTCTCTGTTTCACGTGGTCCTATCTCTCTGAGACCATGGCTAAAAGACCAAGTCCCTATTTGACACATTTCATAGAGGATGGAAAAAAAAGCATATTTGAAATTTCAACTGGGACATGGTATACATCTTACTGTGTCTGTTCATGTTCATTAGCCATTGATCAGATCCTAACAATGGGGCAGAGAAGTATTTTCCACCTACAGGGAGCTCAGCAGGGGTAGGGGAGATAGAAAATCTTTACAAGAAAGAGAGGTGATGTGTAGGGACAATATTATAACCGGCCATTCTTACGTATTTTATTTTACTTAATCTTACAATGTTTTAAGAGTCTAGAAGAGTGCCTGGTCCATCATAGGTGAATAGATGTTGTATGTGGGGCAGGATTAATGCCTTTATTATACCAGTTTTATGGAGGAAATTGAAAAGGAGATAACCTGCTCAAGGGTACCTAGCTGTAAAGTGGCAGAACACAGTCACTTCTTCTTGGAACCATAATGTTCACCACTAGTGTTATAGGGCTCATCAAACACACTAAACCTGAAAGGAAGAGGCTACAATCTCCAGTTTACAGATATGAAAAATTAAAGATATAAGTAGTGTGGATGAGAATACAAAATTAAGGATCGGACTGTGATTTTACCTAAGCTGGTCTGATTTCAGTGGCCAGGGCTTTCCCCACATTGCCCCCAAATCTGAGATTAGAGAGAATCACTGTGACCTCAGAGTCAGAAGAGAACAAAAAAAGAACACAGAAAAGAAACACAAGTCACCATTGAAACTATTGTTGCCCTAATTATCTGGCTAAATCCATTCCATGGCTCACAGTTCCAAGGGGAGGTAAAACAGCTACTAGAAGCATAGGCAGAGATGCGAAATGTCAGTTACTGAGTGTTGGTCCCAATTTTCTGTTTCGAGTTTTGGAAGAAAAATAAAAAAAACTTGAAAAACTGTAGGAGCTGTGTTTTTTTGCAATGGCATAACAAAATAAACTATGGGTCAAAACCACAAGGCTTGTTGAATCCATAGGTTTTATAAAGGAATTTGATAAAGGAATCTTACCATAAAATGAAACAAAAATAAAAATTGAGCTCTACGTAAAAAAAAAAAAAAATGTTACTCTTGATGCTTTCCAGTCATTTTTTTTTTCATAGCATCATGTTATCTGAAGTAAGAATCATGCTTGTAACTTCACTAAGGGGCATTGATTTCCTTTTAATATTAACTGATTATTTGTTTATAGCATTTTTCTTCTTTGGCCAATAAAACAAAGCAAAATAAATAAAAACTCAAAGTCACATACACACAAACCAAAATGTTGACCTAATCCCCAAGATGTGGGTTTCTATCTTACCTACAACTTTTATTTTATAGAAAATGACTGAGCAGTAGATTATTTTACTTTTCTTTGGTACTTCAAAATCAACCTTTTCCCCTCGTGCCTGCCTTGTAATTTTAATGAAAGCAGTGTTCTCCAGCAACCTGGGCTTGAATTTCCACAGTCGTCTTTGACTTTCTTCTTAAACTTCTTCGGTTGTAAATTCCACTGACTACAACTGCAAGATATTTCTCGGACCTGCTGTTTTTTCCATTACTCTAATTCAAGTCAGTGTTGACTTGAATGAAAAACAAATATTAGACCAAAAATGTTATTAATATTCCCCAATAGTTTTTATGCCCTTAAATTAGTTTATTTTTACTTTGTCTTAAAATGTCATCATTTGCTCTTCCAAGTCGTCTCTCTCATATTCTGAGCTATGGCTTTTTTCTAATTTAATTTTCAAATCATTCTCAATTATGAATTATACCTGATTTGTTTCAATACTTTTATAATATTGTTAATTTATTTTTCCTACTTTATTAAGATATAATTGGCAAAATGGTATATAGTCAAGGTGTACAATATGATGTTTTGACATGTCTATATATTATGAAATAGTTAGCACAATCAAACTATTAGTAATTGACACATCTCTAACCTCGTGTAGTTACCCCTCCTCTGTGTGTGTGTGTGGTAAGAGAACTTGGCCGGGCCCGGTGGCTCATGCATGTAATCCTAGCACTTTGGGAAGCTGAGGTGGGCAGATCACCTAAGGTCAGGAGTTCAACACCAGCCTGGTCAACATGGTGAAACGTGGTCTATACTAAAAATACAAAAGTTAGCTGGGCATGGTGGCACACACTTGTAATCCCAGCTACTTAGGAGGCTGAGGCAGGAGAATTGCTTGAAACTGGGAGGTGGAAGTTGCAGTGAGCCAAGATCATGCTACTGCACTCCAGCCTGCGCGACAGAGCAAGAGTCTGTCTCAAAAAAAAAAAAAAAAAAGCACTTAAGATCTACTCTCAGCAATATTCAACTGTACAATATCTTGCTGCTGACTATAGTCAACAGAACTTATTCTTCGGATAACTGAAAATTTGTACCATCTTACCAACATATCTCCATTTCTTTCATCCCTCGACCTCTGCTAACTACCTCTGTACTCTGTTCTGTGAGTTCAACTTTTAGATTCCTCTTACATGTGCAATCATGCAGTATTTGCTTTCTGTGTCTGTCTTATTTCACTTAGTGTAATGGACATGGCATTATTCTAATTTCATAAAGACAGGATTTCTTGATTTTTTTAAAGCTGCATAATGTTCCAATGTACATATATATTAGATTTTCTTTATCCATTCATCTATCTCCATACATGTAAGTTGTTTCCCTATTGTGGCTATTGTGAATCATGCTGCAATGAACATGGGAGTTCATTGGAGTCCAGATGTCTCTTTGAAATAGTGATTTTATTGCCCCTGGATATACACCCAGAACTGGGATTGCTGGATCATGTGGATAGTTACATTTTAAATTTTTTGAGCAACCTCCATACTGTTTTTCATAATGGCTGTATCAATTTACATTCCTACCAACGGGTATAAGTGTTCCCCTTTCTCCACATCTTCACCAACACTAGCTATCTTTTAACTTTTGATAATAGACATCCTAACAGATGAGAGTTAATATCTCATTGTAGTTTTGATTTGCATTTTCCTGATCATTACTGATAATGAGTGCCTTTTCATATACCTGTTGTCTATGTCTTCTTTGGAAAAAAATGTCTATTCAGGTATTTTGCCCCTCTTAAAATTGGATTATTTGTTGTTTTTTTTTGTTTTGTTTGTTTTTGCTGTTGAGTTGTATAAGTTTCTTACGTAGTTTGATATTAACTCCTTATTGGTTATATGGTTTGGAAATACTTTCTCTTGTTGTGATTTTTGTACATGATGTAAGATAAGAGCCCAATTTCATTTTGCTTTGCATGTAGATATCCATTTCTTTAATACCACTTATTGAAGAGATTATTTTTTCCCATTGTATATTCTTGTCACTTTTTTTATTGATTACTTGACTTTATATGTGTGGGCTTATTTCTGTGCTTTCTATTATGCTCCATTGGTCCATGTTTCTGCTTTTATGCAAGTACCATGATGTTGTGATTACTACAGCATTGTAATATAATTTGAAATTGGGAAGTATGATGCCATCAGTTTTTTTCTTCTTGTTCAAAATTGCTTTAGCTATTTGGAATCTTTTGTAGTTCTCTATGAATTTTTGTCTTAGAGACAAAGATTTGAGGATCTTAGAGGAAAAGCTTTTAACTTTTTACCATTGAGTGTGATGTTAACTTTGGGCTTGTACAGGGGTTCGCTTTTACCCACATCCTCCCAATACTTGTTAAAAGTTTTAAGACTGTTACTGTATTAGGGAGCATTTCTTCTATTCCTAATTTGTTTGGAGTTTTTATCATGAAAGGATGTTAAATATTGTCAAATGCCTTTTCTACATTTTTTGACGTGATCATAAGATTTTAAGCCTTCATTCTGTTAATGTTATGTATCACATTTATTAATTTTCATATGTTGAACCACCTTTATGTCCCAGGGATAAATTCCACTTGGTCATAATATATGATCCTTTTACACTGTTATTGAAATCAGCTTGCTAGTATTTTGTTGAGGATTTGCATCTATATTCATCAGTCATATTGGCCTGTAATTTTCTTTCCTTGTAGTCTCCTTTTCTGGCTTGGAATCAGGCTGAATTTTTTTTTCCTTTTTTCTTTTTCTTTTTTTTTTTTTTTGAGACGGAGTCTTGCTCTGTCGCCCAGGCTAGAGTGCAGTGGCATGATCCCTGCTCACTGCAAGCTCCGCCTCCCAGGTTCACGCCATTCTCCAGCCTCACCCTCCCAAGTAGCTGGGAGTACAGGCGCCCACCACCATGCCCAGCTAATTTTTTGTACTTTTCGTAGATCCGGGGTTTCACTGTGTTAGCCAGGATGGTCTCGATCTCCTGGCCTCGTTATCCGCCTGCCTCGGCCTCTCAAAGTGCTGGGATTACAGGCGTGAGCCACCACGCCCAGCCCAGGCTGATCTTAAAAAATGAGTTTGAAAGTGTTTCTTCCTCTTCAGTTTTTGGAGGAGTTTGATAAGGATTGGTATGAATTCTTTAAATGTTTGGTGGAATTTAGCAGTGAATCCATAAGGCCCTGGACTTTTCTTTGGTGGGAGATTTTGGTTAATTATTCAATCTCATTACTCATAATTCATCTGTTTAGATTTTTTTATTTCTCGTTGATTCCATCTTGGTAGGTTGTATGTTTGTAGGAATTTATCTATTTCTTTAATGCTGTTCAATTTCTTGGAGTATAATTGTTCATAGCAGTCTCATATGATCCTTTGTATTTCTGTGGCATCAGTTGTAATGTCTGTTTCTGATTTTATTTATTTGGGTCTTCTGTTTTTCTTATCTAAATGGTTGTTAATTTTATCTTTTCAAAAAATTAATTTTGAGTTTCATTGATCTTTTTATTTTTTTCTTCATTGTAATTATTTTTGCTCTAATCTTTATTAGTTCCTTCTTTCTATTAATTTGGAGCTTAGTTTGTTCTTTTTCAAGTTCCTTGAGGTATAAAGATAGATTGCTTATTTGAGTTTTTTTTATTTCTGAATTTTTTTTATTTTTTAGGTATTCGGTACTATAAACTTTCCTCTTAGAACTGCTATTGCTGTATCCCGTAAGTTTTGGTATGTTGTGTTTCCATTTTCATTTATCTCAGATTTTTTATTTCATTTTGATTTGTTCTTTGACCTACTGGTTTTTAAGGAGTATGTTGTTTTAATTGCCATGTTTGTGAATTTTCCAACTTTTCCCCTCTCAATGATTTCCAGTTTCATACCATTGTGGTTAGAAAAGATGCTGGATATGACTTCAAACTTCCTAATTTGTTAATGCTTGTTTTGTGGACTAACATATTATCTATCCTGGGGAATGTTCTGTGTGCTCTTGAGAAGGTGTATTCTGCTGCTGTTGAATGAAATGTTTTGTATATGACTGTTAGGTCAATTTCCTCTAAAGTTTCATTTAAGTTCAATGTTTCTTAATTGATTTTCTGTCTATATGATCTATCCATTGTTGGAAGTGGGATATTGAAGTCCTTTACTATTATTGTTTTGCTGTCTCTTTCTCCCCTCAGATTTATTAATATTTGCTATACATTTGGGTTCTCTCATATTGAGTACATATATATTTATAATTATTATATTCTCTTGATTAATTGCTATATATTTATATAATGACTTTTTGTCTCTTTTTACCATTTTTTGCTTAAAGTATATTTTGTCTTATGTAAGTATAGCTTCCTGTGCTCTTTTCTGGTTTGCATTTGCATGGAATGTGTTTTTTGTTCTTTCAGTTTTAGTATATCTGTGTCCTCAAAGTGGAAGTGAGACTCTTGTATGCAGCACATTATTGGATATTGTTTTTTTTTTATCTGTTAAGACATTCTATGTCTTTTTGTTGTAGAATGTAATTCACTTACATTTAAAGTAATTATTAATAGGTAAGGACTTACTATTGCCATTTAAAAAATTCCTTCCTAGCTGTTTCGTAGATCTTTTGTTTCTTTCTCTCTTGCTATCTTCCATTGTGATTTGATGATTTTTCTGTAGTGGTATGCTTTGATTGCTTTCTCTTTACCTTTTGTGTATTTACTATAGGTTTTTGCTATGTGTTTAACATAAGGCTTATAAAAACCAGCTTATAGTTACAACGATTCATTTTAAGCTGATAAAAACTTAATTTTAATTCCATACAAAAATCCTACACGTCTTCCCACCCCAACATTTATGTTTTTAATTTCACAATTTACATCTTTTTATATTTATAATATTTAAAAATAATTCTAAATTCAGGATACAGAATACACACTAGTACTGTAATGATAATATGTAAATCACTTATAACTCTAAATACTAAAAGATAAATGTTATTAAAAATAACTATAGCATCAGTAATTTGTTAATGGATATGCAATATGTAAATAAATTCTTATTTTTAATCTAATCCATTAGGCAAAATTAATTACATTTCTAGTAGGAACTTAGCCATGTAATACATTTCTACAGTTCTTTGCATAGCTGTAAAATGATGTTGTCTATTACCTGAGGAGACCGCGGTGAGGAATGATGACAAAGTTATCATTAGATATAGGAATGATGATTCCTTATATCTTGAATCAGATCTTCAGATTAGATTAGGAATTGCTCTGAGACATTTATATTAAAAAGTGTGTATCTCAAAGGAAGTATTTGCTTTTCATTATTCTTTCTGTCCTTCATTAGAAAGGCCAGAATTATATTTTCTTCAGCTGAACATATATGACAGGAATTTTCTTTCTTGCACCAAGGATTAATAGTGAGATAGCTAGTTTATTTAGAAAAATAAAACACTGACTACATCACAAAATACTGTCTGCAAATTGAAAAATAATTTATGTGCTCTTTATTCTCTTTTAAATTTTCAGATATCAGCATGCACATTAGAATTGTTACTAAAATTATTAGTTATTACAATTTAAGTATTATATGAATATCCATGTTTACATTATTAGTAATATTTTATTTTCCCCAGGATAACTGTTACTAAAGCAGTGGCACATTGTACAACTGATGATGCCTTCAAATTGATAAAATATGATGACTATTTTAAGGATGCTTAACATAATTTTTATGATGTCCTCCCCCACCCCTCACACATTAAATGTGTTGTTTTGTTGTTGTTGAACTGGGTTGATTACATTTTTGGCATCCCTTCTCGTTAGCCTCAGTGTCTCACCAGCTTTATTTACAAATGGTGTTTAAGTCTTCCTTTATTCTGCAGAGATGAATGTTTATTTCAGTGTGAATCAAAAAGCAAGGGGAACAGTGTCAATACTATTGGCTTTACTTTTAAGATATCACCTGCAGCTTTTCATCTTCTAATACGCTGTTTGGCGTATTCATTATACTTGTCTCAGAATAATAAATTACATGAAAGCACTGTGTTTTGAAATATGCCTTTCTTTTGTATTTTTCTAAAGGAGGTGTAGACTCAGAAGAAAATACCAGATTATTGGAAAGTTTTGCAGTTTAAAGTAAGATTTCAGGGGAAAAATAAAGAAATTTGAGCCTTGGTGATTGCAATCTTAAATATTCTGGTTTTAGCTTCTTTGGTGTAGTCTGTAAATTGATTTAGCATATATATAGGGAAGAAAAATTTGACCAAAGTCTGCGATATGTTCAATTAACAGTTTTATTGTGTTCTTAGAAAATAAAATTGAACAAATTATTCACTTATTTTAAAGTTAAAACTTTTACATTGTTTCACATTCTCTCTTAATTGAGAGAAATGCTAAATGTTAAACATGGAGAAGGTTGTCTAAATGGTTAGTTCACAGCTTGGAAATTTTCCATCTGCTACTTCAGTCATTTGTAGTCACATTCAAATATAGTAGAATGCCTGTAAAGATGGAAAATGTCATTGAATCT
This sequence comes from Homo sapiens, assembly GCF_000001405.40. Lineage (NCBI taxonomy): Eukaryota > Metazoa > Chordata > Mammalia > Primates > Hominidae > Homo > Homo sapiens. Next base: position 19,268,196 of record NC_000010.11, read on the forward strand.
TTGTTATAAAGCAAAAGTATTTCAAAAATTGCTGATTGGCTACCAGAGACAGAAAAAAAAAAGCACTGCATAGTTTGTGGCAAACAGCTATAACACAGTTGTTATAATAATAGTATCCAAAGAATAGCTATGCTTTCATAAAACCTTTTCACCTAGAAAGTATATCTAACACAGACACTTCAATAAAATCATACTAAACATAGTTCTTTCAGCTTGTGAGTATAACTCCAAGTTATTGTAGTAAGTGAAATAGAAGAAATGGATGATATTCCCCCAAAGCTATAGATATTTAAACATTTTAAATATTCTAAAGAGACTGTTTAAGCTTCAAATACGCTTTTAGATTTTTATATTAAATATATTTCTTAACTCAAAAAGTCACAGGGAAAACGTATACGTTGTTAGCTACAGGTAGATATAAAGTACAATGATTCATATTAGTCAAGAAATTCATTCAGTAATCATATGTCTAAAGTTGGTAATAATTTATCAAGGACTAGAGATGTTAAAATGTTGGTTTTATTTGCTTAATTATCAATGTGGGAATGGCTGTAGGGAGGGAAGTCTAGTATAAAACAAGTTGGAAAATCTATTTTACCAGAGAGAATATATTAATGTAGCCTGAAGTTTGTCATATGTGTTACAGTGAACTTACAGAGTGAGGAGTTAGATCACTGAGTCCATTTGGAGCCTGAGACATCTACTTATGAAATCTTCCACATGACAGATGTACAGGTAGTTTGGTTCCCCTGTGGCTCAGAGATGTGGAAGAAGATCAGATCAAACCAGACTAATCTCTGCTTCTTAGTGAGTGCAAACTTCAGTCATATGCATTTCATCTTTTCAATTTTTGTTTCATCGGCAAAGATTTTAGTGTTCTTTGTTTAAAGAGACTTAAATCTATCATTGCTACCAACTTTAGCCTTATTCTAAGCAATTATAGGCCAACAAAACCCTATAAGCTTTGTAATAAGTTGAATATTTTCCCCACTCCACAATTCATATCTTGAAACCTTAATCCCCATTGAGATGGTATTTGGAAGTGGGGCCTTTGAGAGGTAATTTGGAGTAGATTAGGTCATGAGGATGAGGTTCTTATAATGGGATTAGTGCTCTTACAAAAAGAGGATGAGACAGGAGCTCTCACGCGCTCTCTCGCTCTCTTGCTCTCTCTTTCTATATACTGCATAGTCATTTCTAGCATCACCTGAGTTAAGAGTGTGATACTTTAGAAAATACTCTTCTAAGTATTTGCAAAGTTAAATGAGTTGACCTCATGTCCCTTAGAGGAAAGTCTAAACAATGTGTGAGGACCAGAGAGTCCGTCAGGAATCCTGCAGTCCTTGTCATGCCTCAGTCACACATGAAGAACCGGCCTGACCATGTTTCTGGATTCTATTTTACTTCCACATCACAGAGTCTGTGAAATCAGCTGCAACTCCATCTTCCCAGTTACAACCACCACCAATTGCAAAGTTCAGCTCCAGAAGAAGAAACGCTTTTCTCATTTAGCTCTTTTAGTGCTCTTCTCTTCAATGCAAGACATTGGACTTACTTGGTTTGTAAAATTTCCTCATTCTGGTGGAGTAATAAGGAAGTAATGAGAATAGGACTAAGAATTATGAACTCTTAAAATGTTTTTGCTTAGAGTAGTTGTCCTTTTACTTATTCTCTGAAACCTTTTTAAGATAAAAATGAATTGTCTCTACTTTTCCTCAGTATGAACTCATCGGTCTCTCTTTCAAGTCATCCAACTCATGTCCATGATTTCTCTCTAATGATTATTCTCTAGTTAAGTTGAAATCAGAACTAAAGATGCAGTTCAGACTGCTGGTTTTGCTGAGTGTGGTGGCTCATGCCTGTAATCCCAGGACTTTGGGAGGCCGAGGCGAGTGGATCACCTGAGGTCAGGAGTTTGAGACCAGCCTGGCCAACACGGTGAAACCCGGTCTCTACTGAAAATACAAAAACTTAGATGGGCATGGTGGTAGGTGCCTGTAATCCCAGCTACTCAGGACGCTGAGGCACAAGAATCGCTTGAACTGGGAGGCAGAAGTTGCAGTGATTTGAGATCGCGCCACTGCACTCCAGCCTGGGCCACAGTGAGACTGTCTCTCTCTCTTCTCTCTCTCTCTCTCTCTCACACACACACACACACACACACACACACACACACACACACCAGACTGCTGATTTTAGTAGTATGGAAGACCAGATGACCTAAAAACTGTGACACTATTTATTCCTAGAAATGTTAACTATAACATAGCGTGCATTGATTTAAATGTCAAGCTGAGCTTAAAAAGGGGAAATCTCCAGGTGAGAGAAAAAAAGAGAGAGTATTGAGAAATAGAACAGAAAGACAAAGCAAATGCCAGAGTTAGGAAGTAAGAGCATATGGGATGGACAAGATGGAGAGAAAGGGGAGAGGAGAGCCAGAAGTGACTGAATTGCAAAAGAAGCACAATTAGGCTGATGACTGACTGCTTAACAGCAAGAACAGAAGTCAGAGGACAGATATAATTTTCAGAGTTCTAAAAACTATTAATTGTTAGCCTAAAGCAAAGCAAAACTTTTTCAGGAAAGAGGGTTAAGATGGCATTCAAAGGATAACACACACACACACACACACACACACACACACACACGCACACACAAAATAATATTATTTCACTGCACCAGATTCTGCAGTTCAGACAAATGAACTATGTAAATGTGAATCTCAGAAAGACACAAAATGAGCTCAACCAGGGATGTGATGAAAAATGGGAAACACATGGATAAACCTAAATATACGAATGAATGGCAAGTACATAATGCATGTTGAATGTTTATATACTGCTGGGAAGTATAGAATTACTTTGAAAACTGGTTTGGCATTATCTCCTAAAGTTGAAATTGTACATACCCCGTAACCAAGCAATTCCGTTTCTAGATACATAAGGAGAAATGTACAAAATGAGAAAACAATACCTTAGAAGAATCAACCCCAAAATCATTAACGGTAGAATGGCTAACTACAATATATTTTCATATAATAAAATACTAGACAGCATTCAGAATTACTGAATTACAATATACACATTAACACTAATGAATTAAAGTACTATCTTGAGGAAAATACCACATGGCATTGGTTAAAATCTCTAATCGTTATAATCTCTGTTGCTGATACAGAGAAAGCTTCCATTCATCTAAAGTTAAAAACCCAAATACCATTTTATTTAAAAAGGACCTCCCTGATGTTTACTATATTCTGTCACTATTATTAGAATTTTAAAATGTTAGGCCGGGTACGGTGGCTCATGCCTGTAATCCCAGCACTTTGGGAGGCCGAGGCGGGCAGATCACGAGGTCAGAGATCGAGACCATCCTGGCTAACACGGTGAAACCCCGTCTCTACCAAAAACACAAAAAACTAGCCAGGTGTGGTGGCACACACCTGTAGTCCCAGCTACTTGGGAGGCTGAGGCAGGAGAATCACTTGAACCCGGGAGGTGGAGGTTGCAGTGAGCCGAGATCTCACCACTGCACTCCATCCTGGGCAACAGAGCGAGATTCTGTCTCAAAAAAATATAAAAGTTAACTCATTTAATCACATAACAACCTAATGAAATAGAAACTGTGAGAGGATATTTGGTGTACTTGCAAATGAAAAAAATCATAAAAGCAAATAAATGAAAAATAATTCAGTATACTACTCACCTTGAGAGATGAGCAATGAGGGGTTAGAATCAGCAAGAAAAACACTGGAGGCTTCAAAACTATCAGGAAATTGACATTTCATTTTATTCATGTGTAATAAAAATTTATACATTTCATAATAAAATGTAAACAAGTGAGAAAAGTTTGTGCTGCTCAATAGACTAATAGATCAAAACTGGCTATTTATATAAATTAGATTATAATCATAGATAATATACAATAAAGTCTAAAGTAAAGACTTAAATGTGCAAACCACAACTATCAAAATTTAAAAATTATAGAAACATCTCGAATATTAGAGAAAAAAATTAGAGAAACTTTAAGGCATTAATCATAGAAGTAGTGATTGATAAATTAAAGGTCATTAAATTTTTTTTTATTTTGAAGGACACCATACAAAACAAAAAGACATTTCACAGACTAGGAGAATATATTTGTCATACAGATAAATAAGAGGATTAGAGTGGAGTTTGTGGAATATAAACCTGTAAATAAGAAAACTATAATCCAATTGGAAAAAGAATAGGAGATATGAACCATCAGTTATAAGCCAGAGCAAAATACCAAAGTGGCCCTTTAAAAGTATTTAAAAATATTTCGTTTTAAATTTTATCTTTTATTTATTTTTATTATATTTTAAGTTCCGGGATACATGTGTAGAACGTGCAGGTTTGTTACATAGGTATACATGTGCCATGGTGGTTTGCTGCACCCATCAACCTTTCATCTAGGTTTTAAGCCGTGCATGCATTAGGTATTTGTCCTAATGCTATCCCTCCCCTTGCCCTCCACCCACCACAGGCTCCGGTGTGTAATATTCCCCTCCTTGTGTCCATGTGTTCTTGTTGTTCAACTCCCACTGTGAGTGAGAACATGTGGTGTTTGGTTTTCCGTTCCTGTGTTAGTTTGCTGAGAATGATGGTTTCCAGCTTCATCCACGTCCCTGCAAAGGACATGAACTCATTCTTTTTTATGGCTGCATAGTATTCCATGGTGTATATGTGCCACATTTTCTTTATCCAGTCTATCATTGATGGACATTTGGGTTGGTTCCAAATGTTTGCTATTGTAAATAGTGCTGCAATAAACATATGTGTGCATGTATCTTTATAGTAGAATAATTTATAATCCTTTGGGTATATATCCAGTAATGGGATTCCTGGGTCAAATGGTATTTCTGGTTCTAAATCCTTGAGGAATTGCCACACTGTCTTCCACAATGGTTAAACTAATTTACACTCCCACCCAAAATATTTCTTGATGTAAAAATTATATAATTTTTACAATCTCAATAATTTTCATAATTTCCATAATTGGGAAAATACAAATTAAAATGTCAAATGTGAAATGCAAGGATGTGGAGCAACAGGAATTCACGTTCATTGCTGGTAGAAATACCAAGTTATATAGCCGCTTTGAAAAAGGTTTGATATTTTCTTTTAGAATTAAACATAGTCTTACCATGTCATCCAGCAATCAAGTGCTTTAGTATTTACCCAAATGAGTATATTCACACAAAAAACCTAGATACAGATAGGTGTTTATAGCAGCTTTATTCACAATTGCTAAAACTTGGAAGCAACCAGGATGTCCTTCAGTAGATAAATAGGTAATAAACTGGATCACATCCAGATAAAAATATTATTCAATGCTAAATAAATGAGCTGTCAAGCTGAGATATGAAGGAAATTTACCTGCCTGTTACTAAGCAGAAGAAGCCAATATGAAAAGGCTACATACCCTATGATTCTGACAATATGACGTTCTGGAAAAAAGCAAAACTATGGAGATAGTAAAAACATTAGTGTTTGCCATTGTTTAGGGGAGAGGGTAGGATGCATAGATGGAGGATTTTTAGAGCAGTAAAACTAGTCTGCATGATACTGTAATTGCTGATCTAAGTGCTGACAGGAATAGGGTGTCAGATTTGGGGTTGATGAAAACAAAAAGATATGCCAGTGTCCAACAAGCATAGGAAAACATGCTCAACATGATCAAATAAGGAAAATGGAAATCAAAACCACAATGAGACATCACCTCATACCCATTAGGATGGCCACTATCCAAATAATGAAAAATAGCATTATGAGACTATAGAGAGATCAAAATTCTTGTGCATTCCTGGTGGGACTGTAAAGTGGTTTAGCCATTATGGAAAGCAGTATGACCATTCCTCAAAAAATTAAAAATAGAATTATCCTATGATGTAGCAATGCTACTTTCAGATACATATCCAAAATAATTCAAGCAGAATCTTGAGATTTTTGCCTCCCCTTGTGTCATTGCCACATTATTCACAATAGCTAAGAGGTAGAATAACCCAAATGTCTATTAACAGATGATTGGATAAAGAAAATGTGGTATATACATACAATGGAATATCATGCAGCCTTAAGGGGGAAGGAAATCCCATCACATGCTGCCACATAGATGCTGTGGACTGAACGTATTTTCCCAAAATTTATATGTTGACATTCCAACCCCCAACGTGATGGTATTTGTATGTGGGATAATTAGGTCAGGAGAGTAAAGCTTTCATGGATGGAATCAATGCCTTTATAAAAAGACAGGAGAGAGCTTGCTTTTTCTCTCCCTATTCTCTACCATGTGAGGATACAAGGAGAAAATGGCCATCAGCAAACCAGGAAGTGGGCCAGACACCACTTCTGCTGGCACCTTGAGCTTACACTTCCCAGCCTTCAGAACTAAGATAAATAAATGGCTGTTTAAGACACTCAGTGTGTAATGTGTTATAGCAGCCTGAACTGACTAAGACAATGGATTAACCTCGAGGACATCATGCTAAGCTAAATAAGCCAGTCAGGAAAGTACAACCATTGTAGGACTCAACTCATATGAATTATTTAAGGTAGTCAATATCGTAGAAACAAATGTAGAAAGGTGCTTGCCGAGAGCTGGGGGGAGGCAGGAAGGAAGGGGAACAAGTGTTTAATGGATATAGTTTCTGGTTTTTGAGATTAAAAAAAGCTCTAAAGATCTGTTGTACAACCTTGTGAATAGCCTTAATACTATTTACCACAATAAAAACAATTAGAAAACAAACATGAGAAAATACAAATTGGTACAAACTAGTATTCGGATAAGGGTCCCTCTGAAGGCATTAGTGAAGGGGTAGAAAGAGGAAGAATGAGGTCTGAGCTTTATAGAAAGGTTTTCTTTCTTTCTATTCTTTCTTCCTCATTTATTTGTTAATATAAGGATCTGAAACAATGCTATAATAACAATTTATTTAGTCTTAGTGGTGGAGTCATGTATCTATTATATAATTTTCTTAATTTATATGAATGTTTAAAGTTATTCATAATTAAAGTCATTTTTTTAAAGAAAAGATGTAATTGAATCTGAAGCAGTTCAGTCGATGTCTTCTTTGTCTCAAATGCAAAGTTATTGACACTCAATTCGCTGGGCTTCTGTCCTGCCCTGAAATGTTCTTCTCTTGAAGGAAGAATAATAAAATCAGAAATCGGCCGGGTGCGGTGGCTCACGCCTGTAATCCCAGCACTTTGGGAGGCCAAGGCGGGCAGATCACGAGGTCAGGAGATCAAGACCATCCTGGTTAACACAGTGAAACCCCGTCTCTACTAAAAATACAAAAAAATTAGCCTGGCGTGGTGGCGGGCGCCTGTAGTCCCCACTACTCAGGTGGCTGAGGCAGGAGAATGGTGTGAACCCGGGAGGCGGAGCTTGCAGTGAGTGGAGATCGCGACACTGCACTCCAGCCTGGGCGACAGAGCGAGACTCTGTCTCAAAAAATAAAAATAAAAATAAAATAATAAATAAAATCAGAAATCAGTAAATCCTAGGTATTTGTGACTAGAAGTGTATTATCGAGCAAGTTTAAAGTAGTACAGTCAGTGAAGAACATCATATATGTGTTTCCATTTAGCTGTTTATTGAAGTTTCTGTGTATTAAGGTAAGATGATTAATTGTAAATGTCTATTTCCATAAATATACATAATATACAGCAATGTGAAGAATAGGAAAACATGTGTGATCCACTGTTTTTTAAGACTTTTACTGTTCTAGTAATGTGTATTTACCCTGAGCTTGGAACACAAATTTACCCATTCTCTCTTGAAATTAACGCATTTCAAAATGGCTGCCTAAATTGGAGCATAGAACATTTTTCTCAGTGCAAATGACAGTCATCTCTGTGGAATTAAAATCTTTGTCTTAAACTAAAACTTTATTATCTAAATATGGAACAGACCAGCTTGGATGAGCATGTGCTGAAGTGAAAGAGCTTGACATCCTGCTTTGGTTAAAGGCAAACTTTCATTGAAACTTTGACAAAATACGTCACTTTCCAGATGCCATTTTTGATATAGGACATACAAATAAAAAGTTTACATGCATCTTCTAATGCATTTTAATTATATATATATATATTTTCAGTAAAATTATGTAAGTAAATTATGCTCTGAAATGGCACAACAAATTTAGCGATCAAATTAGATTATTTTTAAGACCTTGTATTTAAACATTTTAAAAGGATGATTTTCAAAGAAATTTGTTCCATATATTCCACTGAGACATATAAAATATCCATCAACCTGGCCATTGAATGTTTTGCAGTCCTCAGCAAATTCCCTCAGAAGTGATTTTTATAATCTCATTATAGATTTATTTGAAAATAATTTTTCATCAAGGCTAGCGAATTTTTCTTTCTCTGATTCAGACTCTGTCCTTCAAGATCTTCAAAGTCATCAGCATTCAAAAATGATAAAATGATTCCCTTTTTAATTTTTTTTCACGTTTTATTATAACGTTGGATCCGTCAGATTTCTATGGAAGGTAATAACTTTGACCTCTAATTGAGTTCTTATGTTTGTTCAATGAGTTAGACGTGAGTATATCCAACTGGATGTGAGATAAAGTTTCCAACCTGTTAGGATCTCCTTTTTTTTTGTGGTGTTGTCATTGGCTTTCTATTTTAGGATAGAAAATATTTCTTTTTACATTTATTTTATTTTGATTGTTTAATTTTTTATTTTTTGTTTGGGTTGGGGGGTGGGAAGGTGGGGTCTTACTCTGTCACCCAGACCAGAGTGCAGTGGTGTGATATCGGCTCACTGCAGCCTCAACCTCCCCAACTCAAGTGATTTTCCCACCTTAGCCTCCCAAGTAGTTGGAACTACAGGTGTGGGCCACCATGCCCAGCTAATTTCTGTAGTTTTTATTTTTGTAGAGATGAGGTTTCACCATGTTGCCCAGGCTAGTCTCAAAATCCTGAGTTCAAGTGATCCACCTGCCTTAGCCTCCCAAAGTGCTGGGATTATAGGTGTGAGCCACCACACCTGGTGAGAAAATATTTCTTATCCCTAAAAACTGACTCCTCTTCTATATTTTATATATCTGATCTTGGGGAATAGAATGCTCATTTACTTAACAATCTATTAATCATTTCAAACTCACCCCTAAGGGATCAGAATACTATTTCCTTGGTCTTAATCTCTCATGTAGACTGAGCTCTACCTGGTAGCCTAATATTCCTGGTCTCTCTTCATCCTCTTATTCATTCCTTCCCAGAGGAAGGAAGAGCAACAATGGATTGGTGAGTTTTCAAGAAGAATCTGAGTATGCATGCCTGGTCCCTCACCTCCTCTTTTCTTTTTAATGTTTACTAGCTGAGGAAATATGAAATCTGGTCAACTCTCCTTGCTATAGTTTCACACAGGGTAGCCTGGAAGACATAGTTCGGGGTCTTATTTCTGGGTTTCACATTTTAGAAGACCACTTGTCTACAGAAATAGGAAATTTTCTTCTTTAGCTATATCAATAAAAAGTTGATATTTTGATCTATCTTCAATCTTAGGTCTTAATTGCCTCTGCATTTGAGCTAAGAAATAAACTACTAGTTATTGGACTTTCCCCAGATTCCCAACAGCATGTAAATCCCCAGTCCTCCAGATACTGGACATTTAATATTGCTCAGATTTTTGCTCTTTCCTTTAAACCATCTCTGTTTTGGTTTATTAGTTGACTGGATTAAAGAAAGAGGTTAACTATTCTAACTATTATTTTTTTTCCAATGTTAGAGCAACCTACAATTCATGCTTCACACTGATGCCAAAAAGTGCATCTTGAAATAGACATTTTATATCTTGTTATTTCTCCATATTTTTGTGTGTTTATTTCAGACTCCCAGGTTGATTTCAGCTGGCTCTTTATGGTAACTGTCTGCTCTCCAGTTCCATATCTAATGAGTCAATCAGACACATGCTTATCATATCACAAGATATTATCATGTTAAATTCTCACAGTATTTAAAATAAAAAAAACAGTTTAATGTATTTCCATGCATTCACACAAGTTTTTTCTCATTGCCCATAAAGACCTTGTATTCTTTTTCACCTGGCAAGATGAGCTCATCAACCTTTGAAAGTTTAAGCATCAGCTTGCCACGGCATCTTATTTGACTCCCATCTGATATATGGTTTTCCTCTGTTTTCTTTCAATACACTGTGAAATCTTCCATTTGTTATTTTATTCATTCATCCACTCTGGTATTCATTCATCTGTCCATCCATCCATCCATCCATCCATCCATCCATCCATCCATCTATCCATCCATCCATCTGTCCATCTATCCATCCATTTATTCACTTGTCAATGTTAGTATACCTACCATATGCCATGGTCCATGAATTGTGCTATGGATGCAGGGATGAAAGATGCCATTCTTGCTTCCCTGGGGTTATATCTTTACCATAAATTTATCCCAAATACCTGTAATGAAAGATACATCTGACTGCCTTGCCCACTAGATGTAAACTATTTAATGGCAGAGATGGCATATTTGACTTGTGTTCTGTGCAAAAAATGCACGAGGAGAGAAGGAAAGACACACACACAATACCTTTAAGGGTAAACAAGCTTTATCCCACATAAATAGCAATGCAGATATAATAAGCAAATGATATAATAAGCAAATTAACATAAGCAAATTGATATAATAAGCAAATGATATAATAAGTAAATTGCAATGGGAAGGGGAGAAGGGAAAAATATATACATATTTACACTCACCAGACTATGGACGATTCACCACCAAACTGGGAAGCAACAGCCTGGGCTCCAGAGTTGGACACTGCACTCACCAGACAATGGAGGATTCACCACTAGGCCCAGAAGCAGCGGCCTAGGCTCCAGAGTTGGCCAGTCGTCCATGCACAGAGGAGGAGAGGTCTCATGAAGCTTCGGAGCAGCCTGGGACCCTAGCTCTTTTTGTAATGAGTTGTTTGGCATGAGGTCCAGTCACAAGGGTCCTTTGTGACTGGGCCCAAGGAACACAAAAAGGTTGACTTGTTTTTGTGATTGTTGTTGTTTTTCAATAACTAACATATAGGAATACATTGAAATAGAGATTTCTTCTAAACAACACTGGATGAAAGCCTGAAGGGGCTCACACAACCCGTTCTGGGACTTGGTGATCATTCTTTGTGTCCATGTTCAATTTAGTTCAGGTTTAATATTTAACTTTTTCTCCACAGCTTGGATTCCCTGCATCTACCACGTGTATGGCACAGACATGTTATCAATACATGTTTATTGAATAACTAATAAATCAGTCAACATCTATAAATGTCTTCCATCCTCAGTAATTTCAGAAATTGTAATCTTGTACAAAATTTCTAGATGAGGATTTCTGGTTTGACTCTTTCCTGAAACCTTGAATTTTAAATAAGTGAAAATATGTTAAACAAAGATGAGGAGATGTTAGATTTATTGTAGCAGTGGAAGAACAAAGGTTATTTACCTAGTAAATTAGAAAGTTATTTAGATCTTTACTCTGGCTCTTAATTCCAGAATCTGAAACTCCCTTGGTTCCTGCTGATTCTCTAAGCCCTGGCCTTGGGCCTCCCATTGATTTGGTGAGCTCTGAATAGCTTTCCAGTAATTTCCATCTGTACCATCATCATTTGTCATGATCAAAGATGTTTAGTTATTTACTGTTACTAAAAACAAGAACCTCGATTTTATTTTAGCAGAGTAGCTGATACTACCCACTGTTCTCTATGATATTGTGGGGCATATTTAGAAAGCTTCATTGTGTAAAATCTCTAAAGCAGTAGAAAACCAGAAAACCTGCTAAATGATGCCTGTATATTATTTCTTATCAAGGTAATTTGCCAGCAGACCTCCCAACTCCACCAGAAACGTCAGTTCCTGTAACATTACCTCCACACAACTGCACAGACAATGAATTTATCTGCAGGTCTGATGGTCACTGCATTGAAAAAATGCAGAAATGTGATTTTAAATATGACTGCCCTGACAAATCAGATGAAGCATCCTGTGGTAGGTGGATTCTTAAAATTTGTTTAAATACTGCTACAAAATAGAAAATGCAAGTGTAATCTCTAAGTAGCACAGCCTAGCATCATAGTTAGATATATTCAACATGAGTTAGAGCAACTTCTAAATGTAACAGTTATTCATACAGAAAATTGTAATGGAAGAATCAGAATGCATTTTCTGCCAGGCCCCGTAAGTGGTAAGTGTCTTTAGATTAACGTTTTGGATTCAAAACTATCGTTTTCACAAACTTTACTTGACTCTGGGAGTAGCATTTAGTAGCTCTTTCCATCCATTCCCTTTGATCTGTACTCCTCACACTATAAAATAGGGAATGTTTAGGGAGGTAGCTTTATAGTACTGTCAAATTAATTTATTCAAATTTTGCCATTGCCAAAATGCACATACAACATTAGTACTATTAAAATATGCAGAGTTCATGAGAAAACCTATCTTAATGCAAATGAGACCTTTATCCCCTGTGTCCTGGTTTTTACCTGCCAATTCAATGGTACCTGCCAATTCAATGGCTTTTCCTAAATGGATCAAAGACAAACTATTTAGTTTAAAAATGGGCTTCTCAGCCAAAGATACAGTCTAAGAGGAGAAAAATTAATCTGTGTCTTAATGAGCAAAGCATAAGATCAGAAGGGTAAACACTTTGAAATATCTTTCCCTTCCCTGTTCTTCATGGAGTAGCCTGTGAATTGACTGTACCATCATATTTCTCAAGTGTCTTGATAATATTAAGGGCTTAGAACAGACAGATAACACAGAGAGAGTAGTGAAACCCTTGTTTTATGTCAACCTTGTGAAGAAATTCTAGGACTTAAGAAATCCAGTGAGGTTCATATTTATTCTTTTAATCTAGAAAAAAATGTTTTTTAATGTACAAATACACCACCAATTAACTATCTAATCTAGACTAAAAAAGTCATAAAATCAAAGCTGACTCACTTCATGCATAAGATGAGACAGTAATTAACTCAAGCTAGCCAGGGATTTATATCATGCATCACAGATGGAAAATAATACAATGGAAGGTGTGGTGGTGTTCAGACTTGCTCATCGGAAGGCATTCGAATCCCCTTATGATCTTATATAAGTTGTAGTGTTTGTAAGAGTTTATACAAAACCTAATTAATTACACAAAATGAGTATCTTTAGGGAATACCGAATTTCCTCTAAGTTCAACTTTGCCGTTTTAGTGATGTCGTTTATGATTAGAGGGGAAGTTTTGATAAATTCTTTAAGTGTCCTAAATGAGTGCCTACTATTAAGTTATTCTTAGTCAAATAGTTTTTATAATTTTGAACAAATATAAATGAATTATTACCATTTTATTTATGAATAAACTGAGATATTGTCTCTTCCACCCTTTTGTAAGATAAAATAGTATGACAAATCTGCTTGTAAACTATACAGATTTTCTAACTGATTTTGAAAATTGTGATAAAAACACATAACATGGCCAGGTGCAGTGGCTCACGCCTGTAATCATAGCACTTTGGGAGGCCAAGGTGAGCAGATCAGTTGAGCCCAGGAGTTTGAGACCAGCTTGGCCAACATGGCAAAACCCCATCTCTACAAAAAGAATACACAAATTAGCTGGGTGTGGTGGCGTGTGCCTGTAATCCCAGCTACTTAGGAGGCTGAAGCAGGACAATTGCTTGAGCCTGGGAGGGGGAGCCGAGATCGTGCCAATGCACTCTGGCCTGGATGACAAAGTGAGACGATGTCTCCAAAAAAAAAAAAAAAAAAAAAAATGAACACATAACATGAGATCTACCATCTTAACAAAATGCTAAGGGTACAATACATTATGGTTGACTCTACTGTAATATTGTACAGCAGATCCCTAGAACCTATTCATCTTGCTTGACATGTTATATTTTCCGATAGTTCTATTAAAAGCCTACAAATTATATATTTTAAATGATATGAAGAACAGAGATATATTGGATCCTAAATCCCTTCACAAGATAAACAATTAATGTTTGTTTAGATTAACTAATACGCCTGAATGTCATGACTGAAAACACTTTTTTAAATGTTTCCTTTTCAGATTTCACATTAACTCATATACCCAAATTTCTAAATGGTCATAGTGGTATGCTGCCACTATTAATGTCACTTAAAAGCTAGAGTGCACACCAGGTTTTCTATAGTATACACAAGAATTTCATTGAATGAATATTTCTTTTTTATTCAGCAGTGGAAGATTTTAGACACATGAACACATTCGGAGAGAGAATTCAGATAACAGTTTTACACATAACCTGTACATTTTAAAAAATCGCTGGACCTGTAATTTCCTGTGATATTAGAATAAAATTATTACAAGAATCTGTAAAACTTTATAGGAAACAGGTCCAATATAAAAGTTATTGGAAACCTCGTTGCTTAAACTGAAGTTGGGAATTAGCAATAACCCCTTCAGAGACTGAGAAAAGAACAGACTTGTCAGAACTTGGAGATCATGCAAGCAATGAAATTGCTTAATGGAAGTGCTTAAATTGCTGCTTTAGAAGCTAATTAAAATCTCACCTCCTCATGAAACCAGATCATTAGTATATGTATTTTTTCCTATATTTTTTCCTATAAATATTTGACTAGAATAAACCTAGATTTCTTTGAAACTCTTCCAGTGATTTTACAAACCATTTGCCTAATTATTTTAATAATGTTTAAAAGTTACATTAGAATTAAAAACAAGAGTAAGAAAGTGCTGATTAAGATTGTACAGATAGAAACTGCCACTTACTAGCTCACCTTTTCTTTGTTCTACCCCATCCAAGTTATGGAAGTTTGCAGCTTTGAGAAAAGAAGCCTGTGTAAATGGTATCAACCAATCCCAGTACATTTGCTTCAAGATTCAAACACATTCAGGTGGGGGCTTGGGAACGGGATCAGCATTCATCATGGGGAAGAAAACCACAGGCCATCAGTGGATCATACACAGTAAGTGACCATGTATTTTGAATATCTCTCTTGGGAAATATTTATTAAGCATCTCCCAAATTTCTGCCCCCACCACCTTATCCTAGGCCAATGCTACTGTAAAGACAAATGTTAAGTTGAAAAGGAGGCTGTTTTCTTTCATACAAAATGGAAAAATTATCAATTAAAAAAGCAATGAATGCTCTTGTGAATTTCATAGAAACCGGAGAAGAACATGAATAAGTGAACAAAATAATTTAATATTATCACTCTTTGAAAAGCCCTGTTAGTATATTGTTTTTAAAATGATCTATGGATGTCTTGCCTCCCCAAATGTCTTTTCTCCTTCCCTTTTCCATCTCTTCCACCACCTCCTCCTCCCATTTCCTCTTCTTCAGCCTCCCTTTTTTCCCCTCCCCTTTCCCCTTTCTGTCTTCCTACTTTTTCTCACTCCGATGTGTATTTGTCATACATGTATGAACACAGGTAAATGTGCAGATTTTCAACATAGGTGAAAAGATTTTTCCACTTCTCAATAAATCATGCCATTAAATATTCATCATTATTTGCATTTCACTGTAATGACTTTCAACAATTTACTAATCTGTTCTCAACTTTCTCAACTAGTGGATTTCCCAGTTAATTTCACGTTATCTCAATATTATAAAGTTGCTTCAAAGAAGAAATAGAGTGCCTACTGTGTGAGAACGCTGCGGTAGGCACTAGAAATAAACGAGTGACTGAAACAGATGATCCTTGCTCTCATTAGGGAGACAGGCAGCAAGTCAATAAATAGAAAGCGCTGCAGATGGTGTTAACTGCTACACAGCAGAAGGGAAACAAGGAAAGGGTTTGTTAGTGATGGAGCATTTCTTTCTGAATGGAACACAAAGGGAAAGGCCCTGAGCCAGGACCATACAGGAAGACCAGCATGGCTGGGGTGGGATAAGAAGAGCAGACTACATAACAAATGTAATATTTTTCTTTATTGACTATTAAGGCTTTTGTCCATTTTGAACTTTTTTCACTTTTGTGAAATGCATGAATATTTTCTAGTGTTGTAAGCATGTTTGTATTTTACATACCAACTTTTTTTTTTTTTCATTATACTTTAAGTTTTAGGGTACATGTGCACATTGTGCAGGTTCGTTACATATGTATACATGTGCCACGCTGGTGCGCTGCACCCACTAACTCGTCATCTAGCATTAGGTATATCTCCCAATGCTATCCCTCCCCCCTCCCCCCACCCCACCACAGTCCCCAGAGTGTGATGTTCCCCTTCCTGTGTCCATGTGATCTCATTGTTCAATTCCCACCTATGAGTGAGAATATGCGGTGTTTGGTTTTTTGTTCTTGCGATAGTTTACTGAGAATGATGGTTTCCAGTTTCATCCATGTCCCTACAAAGGACATGAACTCATCATTTTTGATGGCTGCGTAGTATTCCATGGTGTATATGTGCCACATTTTCTTAATCCAGTCTATCATTGTTGGACATTTGGGTTGGTTCCAAGTCTTTGCTATTGTGAATAATGCCGCAATAAACATACGTGTGCATGTGTCTTTATAGCAGCATGATTTATAGTCATTTGGGTATATACCCAGTAATGGGATGGCTGGGTCAAATGGTATTTCTAGTTCTAGATCCCTGAGGAATCGCCACACTGACTTCCACAATGGTTGAACTAGTTTACAGTCCCACCAACAGTGTAAAAGTGTTCCTATTTCTCCACATCCTCTCGAGCACCTGTTGTTTCCTGACTTTTTAATGATTGCCATTCTAACTGGTGTGAGATGATATCTCATAGTGGTTTTGATTTGCATTTCTCTGATGGCCAGTGATGATGAGCATTTTTTCATGTGTTTTTTGGCTGCATAAATGTCTTCTTTTGAGAAGTGTCTGTTCATGTCCTTCGCCCACTTTTTGTTGGGGTTGTTTGTTTTTTTCTTGTAAATTTGTTTGAGTTCATTGTAGATTCTGGATATTAGCCCTTTGTCAGATGAGTAGGTTGCGAAAATTTTCTCCCATTTTGTAGGTTTCCTGTTCACTCTGATGGTAGTTTCTTTTGCTGTGCAGAAGCTCTTTAGTTTAATTAGATCCCATTTGTCAATTTTGGCTTTTGTTGCCATTGCTTTTGGTGTTTTGGACATGAAGTCCTTGCCCACGCCTATATCCTGAATGGTAATGCCTAGGTTTTCTTCTAGGGTTTTTATGGTTTTAGGTCTAACGTTTAAATCTTTAATCCATCTTGAATTGATTTTTGTATAAGGTATAAGGAAGGGATCCAGTTTCAGCTTTCTACATATGGCTAGCCAGTTTTCCCAGCACCATTTATTAACTAGGGAATCCTTTCCCCATTGCTTGTTTTTCTCAGGTTCGTCAAAGATCACATAGTTGTAGATATGCGGCGTTATTTCTGAGGGCTCTGTTCTGTTCCATTGGTCTATATCTCTGTTTTGGTACCAGTACCGTGCTGTTTTGGTTACTGTAGCCTTGTAGTATAGTTTGAAGTCAGGTAGTGTGATGCCTCCAGCTTTGTTCTTTTGGCTCAGGATTGACTTGGCGATGCGGGCTCTTTTTTGGTT
Organism: Homo sapiens; assembly: GCF_000001405.40. NCBI lineage: Eukaryota > Metazoa > Chordata > Mammalia > Primates > Hominidae > Homo > Homo sapiens. The sequence continues at coordinate 19,285,750 of NC_000010.11, forward strand.
CCATATGAACTTTAAAGTAGTTTTTTCCAATTCTGTGAAGAAAGTCATTGGTAGCTTGATGGGGATGGCATTGAATCTGTAAATTACCTTGGGCAGTATGGCCATTTTCACAATATTGATTCTTCCTACCCATGAGCATGGAATGTTCTTCCATTTGTTTGTATCCTCTTTTATTTCCTTGAGCAGTGGTTTGTAGTTCTCCTTGAAGAGGTCCTTCACATCCCTTGTAAGTTGGATTCCTAGGTATTTTATTCTCTTTGAAGCAATTGTGAATGGGAGTTCACTCGTGATTTGGCTCTCTGTTTGTCTGTTGTTGGTGTATAAGAATGCTTGTGATTTTTGTACATTGATTTTGTATCCTGAGACTTTGCTGAAGTTGCTTATCAGCTTAAGGAGATTTTGGGCTGAGACGATGGGGTTTTCTAGATAAACAATCATGTCATCTGCAAACAGGGACAATTTGACTTCCTCTTTTCCTAATTGAATACCTTTTATTTCCTTCTCCTGCCTGATTGCCCTGGCCAGAACTTCCAACACTATGTTGAATAGGAGCAGTGAGAGAGGGCATCCCTGTCTTGTGCCAGTTTTCAAAGGGAATGCTTCCAGTTTTTGCCCATTCAGTATGATATTGGCTGTGGGTTTGTCATAGATAGCTCTTATTATTTTGAAATACGTCCCATCAATACCTAATTTATTGAGAGGTTTTAGCATGAAGGTTGTTGAATTTTGTCAAAGGCTTTTTCTGCATCTATTGAGATAATCATGTGGTTTTTGTCTTTGGCTCTGTTTATATGCTACACAAATAAACTAGAAAATCTAGAAGAAATGGATACATTCCTCGACACATACACTCTCCCAAGACTAAACCAGGAAGAAGTTGAATCTCTGAATAGACCAATAACAGGAGCTGAAATTGTGACAATAATCAATAGTTTACCAACCAAAAAGAGTCCAGGACCAGATGGATTCACAGCCGAATTCTACCAGAGGTACAAGGAGGAACTGGTACCATTCCTTCTGAAACTATTCCAATCAATAGAAAAGGAGGGAATCCTCCCTAACTCATTTTATGAGGCCAGCATCATTCTGATACCAAAGCCGGGCAGAGACACAACCAAAAAAGAGAATTTTAGACCAATATCCTTGATGAACATTGATGCAAAAATCCTCAATAAAATACTGGCAAACCGAATCCAGCAGCACATCAAAAAGCTTATCCACCATGATCAAGTGGGCTTCATCCCTGGGATGCAAGGCTGGTTCAATATACGCAAATCAATAAATGTAATACATACCAACTTTTTATGTCTACCTCTTTCATCTTTATGTACCACATGTAACAAATTTTTATCACAGTGACTGCATGCATCTAGTCTAAAAGTGTCAAAGAGAATTGACAGTCATAATGACAGCTGTCATTCCTTCAGTAATATCAATCCAATTCCCTGGAGATATCCTATTATGTCCTAAGATCATTCCTCTATACTTTTCTCACTTTTATTAGGGATTGGTTATAGGTGCTAGTCCATATTTATAAAAGAATATATAGTCGTTTCTTGATTCAAAAATTTTGGCTTCCTCTATTGACATCCTATTAAGAGGAATAAAACCTCTATTTCTCTCCCCAAATTCCTATTTCTCTCCCTCCCATCGTTCCGACTGTGTATATTTATACACAGTTCTGTTTAAGTTATTAGCTTAGCAGTATTCTGATTCTTTAAATTTCTGAGCTAGATATTGCATGATGATTGTTTCCTTTGTTTATATTTTTATGTGAAAATTAATAGTTTTCTTATCTTTTTTTCTGTAGATGTTTTATGATCTTAATGTTCTTTTCCTCAATATCAGTTGCAAAATCAATTTGCATTCCCACACACCAAGTAGGGAAAATGATTGATATTTGGTAATGGTGCTGGGATATTTGATTTTTCATATAAAATTGCATACATAAATTTAAAAACTATACCATATAGTTTTGTGTAACTGTGTTCTATGATGTTGAGGTGAAGACAACTCACCTAACAATGCATTTCTCAGAACTCATTCCCGTCATTAAGTGACACATGACTGTGTATAGTTATATAGTTGTTCAGCTTGTTTTTTATTAGGACTTGTTTATAGGGAGCAGAATCTAAGACATAGGTGGAATTATTAATTTTACCTTGGAAGAAGGATATTCCTTGCTGTAAACAAGCAGGGAGAAAGAATGTGTTGGTACTGACTCAGATGAATTTATGAATTTAAAAAAATTAAGCAACATGACATGCAAAGTAATTTAATGGGTTTTTTCAAGTACCCATCTTTCAAGGCCGTGTCTTTTTTTTATTAGTTTTAATTATTTTTCTTTTTTGGAGTCTCACTCTGCCACACAGGCTGGAGTGCAGTGGCTCAATCTCAGCTCACTGAAACCTCTAGTTTTAATTTTTGTGGGTACATGGTAGGTGTATATATTTATGGACTGCATAAGGTGTTTTGATACAGGCATGCAATGTATAATAATCACATCATGGAGAGCAGGGTACCCATCCCCTAAGCATTTATCCTTTGAGTTACAAACAATCCAGTTACTCTCTTTATTTTAAAATGTACCATTATTATCGATGATAACAACCCTGTTGTGTTATTAAATAGGTCCTATTCATTCTTTCTATTTTTTATATCCATTAATCATCCCCACCTCCCTCCCAGCCTCCTGCTACCCTTCCCAGCAAAGTATTCATCCTTCTCTGGCTTCTTTTTCATGTGTCATTTTCTTTACATTTTTCCTTGTTCATTTGCTCCTCACATATACATGGTAATAATTATTTTAAGTAGGGATTTTCTGACCTCATTTTGTTCTTTGTTATTTATTTTGGTATCTTCTCTTTTTCTGAGGTTCCGTAACTAGTATCTTTCCCCTGTTTTGTAGTCCACAGTTCTGTTGTGTGCCCAAGTCCTGCGAGATCCCATCCTTCCTCCTCTCATTCTGATGATTCCAGGGAAATGTTATTGCAGATGCTCTTATATTAAAGAATCTTTTCAAAATCTTTATGCCCTTACAGCCCTCTCCACAGTTAAAACTTCACAACCCCCAGACTCTGTAGCTGCTGCTTCAAAGAAAACTAATGGTGTCTCTGCTGCTCTGTGTGGGACCTCCTTCTGCAGATGGGCCTTATACTAAAGAGATTCACAATATCTTTAACATCCAGTTATTTTCTTCAGGCTGATTTCCCCCCTCCCTGCTTTTGGATCTCTCTTTTGTCATTGTTTTTGTTCTATTAAGATGGCTCCAGTTTTTTATTTAATATGTTTTAATTTTTAAAGTTTTTTATTCAAAATTTTTTTCTTTAATTTTTTTCCTTGGGCTGCTTCTGACTCACAAAAAAAGCAAAGGACACTTACAGAAAGTTTTTGTGGCTTATATCAATAAACTACATCTTATGAATAATCTATAAGTCCATTAAGAAAAGGTGGACTAGAATTTCACATATAAGTGGTAAAGGTAGAAGTAGCAATGTGTCAAAAGCAATAATTTGTATTTCCGTATTTCCTCTCACCCTACCACTTTCAATAGACTGGAAATTTCCTAAGGAATCCCAGGAGCTGTGATTTCCCAATGTGTTGCATTATTTTCAAGTGTCTGGTGCATAATAGGCCTCAATAATTATTTGTTGAATGAATTAGTTGCTAATTAGCATCAATATATTTGTGTTTTATAATTATAGGCTACAGAACACAAAATTAACTTTTAAATCGGAATGCTTAATGGTCAGATAATATTTAACATATGTGCTCTACATGACAATAAATCGTGGAGAAGGGAACAGCCTCTAACCTTATATCTCCTCTCCTTTTCTTCTTTTCTCTCTAGGCTCATTCCTCAGCCAAGGAAGGCTTGAGATTATTTCTTTTCTTAAAAAACAGTTCTTATGCATCAGATATCCTACTCTATAGCTCATAGTAAGATTCTAAGTTCAGTTTTCCAAATTTTGTTTTTTGTGTTTGAAGGAAAACTTTTCTAATTTTAAATTGGCTTTTCTCTCTCAGGCATCTTGCTATAGAAATTTAAAGCCAGGTTTTTAAGGATGTTGTTTTGGAAATAGTTCTCAAGATTAGTTTTAAAAATTGGAAGGCTTTCTGTCAATTCTTTCTTGTCTCTTTCTCTGATCCCGGCTGTCTTGGAGACAAAGATTGCTTCTGGCTCAGTAAAGTAAGGATTATTTATAAGCAAGTATAAGAGAAAAAAACCCACAATAATATATTTCAAAATATTCTCTCGCTTTATGCACTTAATGAAACAATAAAAAGTCTAAAGAAGCCACAGTATGGTAGGAATATGTAGGGAAATTTTCACTGTGTAGTTGAGTCTTAGGCAAGGTCTTAAAATGCATATTTTTTACCATGAAAATGACATGACTACCTGATATTCTACTTTTTTTTGCATCCACAATTTAATGGACTATCCTTGGTACATCAGAAGTGAACTCTGTGATATAAATTTAAGATTGCATCTTTATTTTTTATATGTTTGTGGGAGAGTAACACCATTCCATACAGCTAGTTTATTAATTTTTACATGAATTAGAAAAACGCATCTCTTCTTGTAGATGGAGGCATTTTCAGCACAGAGTTCGGTGAGTGGATTCTCCCTTTCTCCTGCTCAGCAGGGCTCAACTGAGGTTACCTGGTGTGATTTTTCTAGGGTTGTAATCAAGGTATATGGAAATATTGCTCTCAACTATAATGCAATGGAAAGATAAAGTAAAAATCATTCAATGACAATATCATCAGTTGCAATTTACATGTTTTTTTGAGATTGGGGTTGAATAAGATTTCCATTTCCTTTAAATTATGTAGGGAAGGAGAATATTTAGTAGAAAAGTATTTTTCCTAGTATTTTGAGAAAAGAATCATAATCTAGTATTAAATAAAATGAGTTTGTACCCATTCATGCTCCAACAACTACTAAGGCAGTTGGCAAAATTGTGAGTTCTCTTCAGCTGAGAAATTTTTTAAAAAATTATTATTTGCTTATCATTGAATCAAGATACTTGGATCACCTAGAATCTGAGCCTTATAGTTCACATTTAAATATACTTAGAATACTGTATATTTGCAGGTCTTGTGTAATGATTCCTCTCAGTTTGTGATTTTATATGATCTCAGAGTCCTGTACTCTGACCTACACAATTAGTTTAATTGGTCAAGTCTCTTAGCCCAGGCAGTGTTTCTATAGTATGTAAACTGGCTCATAGCCAAGCACCGTAAGTTTTATGATCATTTTTATCTCATAAGAAAAGCCTTTATTTGATCCAATTCATTTTTATTGCTGGAATCTAGAGAGCAAAGTTTTAAGTTCTTGGTCCTCAAATACATTTTATTTCACTAAATGCCAATCTATTGGTTAAATAATGTTTAATATTAACACTTTTTTTAGTATAAAATTATTCCCTTAAGCAAAATAAAGTTCCTCACACTTCATTCATGTGAAATGATGTCTGGTAGAATACCTATGTGTATTCTAGGTCATTGGTTTCTAACTCTGCTCATAGAACCCTTGGGGGAAATTCTCAAAATGGAGATTAAAGACCACTGAAAATTTATATATAAATTTGCTTATACATTTTTAAATGCAGGTTCTAAAACCTTGGATTAAAATCTCTGGGAATGAGGCCAGGTGCAGTCACTCAAACCTGTAATCCCATTGAGAGGGGAAAGGTGGTTGGATCACTTGAGCCCAGGAAATTGAGGTTGTAGTACACTACGATCATGCCATTGCACTCCAGCCTGGGTGACAGAATGACACTTTATCTCTAAAAAGAAAAAAAAATTCATGGAATGGAGTTGGGAATTTGTATTTTTACAAATTCTAGATGCTTCTAGAATCTCACTGTTAGGGGCTTTCAAGGCAAGAAGTGGGGAAGATATTGCTAAAAGAGGGTCGCTTTCTCACCTAATTCCAATTTTGATCAGAGAAGATTCATTTTTCTCTAAATGTAATAACTAATTTAAAAAAACAAAATAAGAAAGAAAAATTGCTCTAAGGTCCTTCCATTAAAAAAAATAAAATTTGTGGGCCAGGTGCAGTGCTTCAACCTGTAATCCCAGCACTTTGGGAGGCTGAGGCGGGTGGATCACTTGATGTCAGGAGGTCAAGACCAGCTTGGTCAACTTGGTGAAACCCCATCTCTATTAAAAATGCAAAAAATTAGTCATACGTGGTGGTGCGTGCCTGTAATCCCAGTTACTCAGGAGGCTGAGTCAGAATAGCTACAACCTGGAAGGCGGAGTTTGCAGTAAGCCGAGATGGTGCCACTGCACTCCAGCCTGGATGACAGAGCAAGACCGTCTCAAAAAAAAAAAAAAAAAAAAAATCAAATTTGTGTGTCCTAAAGGAACTATTATAATTGTAAAATAGTTTTGAGGGAAAACTCTACCCTGAGTCAGTCTAAAAAACATCATTTCAAGGCCCCCTTTGGCTTGCTTCATTTATTGTACAATACACAATGTTTTTTTCTGTCGTTTTTGCATACATGATCTCTTCTCGGTCTAATCAAAATTACCTTTGTCTTTCTGTTGGATCAAAACAAAAACACACATACCAATCTCATGATTACCTGGAAGTGATGGATATTTTAAAATGTTGTGGATTTGCTTAAAATGTTAGAACTTGCTTACAGGTGGTTGAGAAGCTATTTGTTTGAATATACACTATCTTGAAAAGTAGAAGTACCCAGATTTAAAAAAAAACACTGATCGTTATCTTTCAGTTGGAAATGAGTTATGGTCCCCACTGCTGCTCATGCACCTGCTTTCCTATCTGTATTATACATTTGTGCAGATTTGACATCATGATAAACTAAAAGCCACATAAATAATGCAGGCCGGGCGGGGTGGTTCACGCCTGTAATCCCATCACTTTGGGAGGCTGAGGCGGGCGGATCACGAGGTCAGGAGATCGAGACCACCCTGGCTAACACGGTGAAACCCCGTCTCTACTAAAAATACAAAAAAATTAGCCGGGCATGGTGGCGGGCGCCTGTAGTCCCAGCTACTCGGGAGGCTGAGGCAGGAGAATGGTGTGAACCTGGGAGGCGGAGCTTGCAGTGAGCCGAGATCACGCCATTGCACTCCAGCCTGGGCAACAGAGCGAGACTCTGCCTCAAAAAAAAAAAAAAAAAAAAAAATGCAAACTATGTCCCTGTGACACTAACTCTGTGTATCCTTCTATATCTAGTGCTGGATATGAATGTGGATAAAAGCTTCAGTGAAGAGAAAATATTATAATTTTTTTCTGTAACGATAATAATTTTCAAAGCTTTAGTCCCTTAGACAGTAAATACCAGAATTATTGCCTTCTCTGGTAAGAAGATAAGCCAATATTTTATAGGCCAGTTTAGAAGCCATAACATTCTCCCAGCATAATTTCTAACAGATCAAGACTTTTAACTAAAATAATGGTTAAATACCAGTCCTTAGAAACAGTTTTAGTGCAATAAAAAGCAAGTGGTGCAAACAGCTGAAATTTAAATCAACTGTAGTTATATATACATATATTTTTTTGCCAAGACACCAAATGCAAGTATGTAGTTATTTTCTTTTAACTGTTTTGATACTTGTTGTCAAGCAGCATTCTGGCAGTATTGCCATAGGACTGAATATAAAGCACAATTATCCCTCTAAACACACAAAACAATGTCCTTATTTTAGATTGTCCTTGAGTTAAGGATCTATTATTTGCATTTTCATATATATCAGTAATTTGTTGTGCGCAAGTAAATTAAATCACTTTAATTTTGATTTTATTCAAAGATATTTTATCTGGATAATTTTTAAAAATTAACTAGAAAAGAACGAGATCATGTCTTTTGTGGGAACATGGATGGATTTGAAGGCCATCATATTTAGCGAACTATAATGCAGGAACAGAAAACCAAATACTGTATGCTCTCACTTATAAGTGGGAGCTAAATGATAAGAACTCTTGGACGCAAAGAAGGGAACAACAAACACTGTGACCTATTTGAGGGTGGAGGGTGGGAGGAGGAAGAGAACCAGAAAAAATAACTTGGGTACCAGCGTTATTACCTGGAGGATGAAATAATCTTTACAACAAATCCCCGTTACATGAATTTTACCTATGTGACAAACCTGCACATGTACCCCTGAACCTAAATGTTTACAAAAAAACGAAATGCAGTCGCTTGAGGTACATGGGATTTAAGAGAAATTTGTGCTGAAAATATACGAACCATATCTAAAATGACACAGAGAGTGAGTGGTTAGGTAGCATACTTGCTGTACAAGGTAAAGTTTTAAGAAGGTAGTCATAAAAAGGTCTATAAAATTATGTTACCAAAGATCACAGCATTTTTGACTAATAATAAAATAATAACTTTTATATCTCGTTTACAATTGCATTCAAAAATTAAAAATTCATTTTCATTATATAATCTTTAAATATGCTTTTCCTTTAACCACATTAAAAAGAAATAATTGTACTTACATTCTAACTCCTGTGAAGAATTGTTATAATTGCCCCCAAAATTTGTAGGAAAAACGTTTCCCAAACTAAGTGAAGGTAAATTAGACTTGATTCCCTGTAGTGAGGCAAGAACTTGAACAAATGAATATGCCATATGAAATATGAATCATTTTTATGACATCAGTATGCTCTTGTGACATAGTGATTTATGCAGATATATCAATTACTCAAATCAAACATTTTTATTGCCTAAAAGATTCATAGATTGTATTGACTAGGCATACCATTTATCCTTAACATTAGTCATATGTTTCCTGAGCCCTACTCTGTGAGAACAGAAAACTGTAAGTAGATGTATAAAACCCAGCAGAAAGTTTTACTTACTGAAAGAGTGGTCCACTCAGGTAACGACCTGTCAGGACTGTGTGCTTGGTTGTATGTCTGTCTTTAAAGATACCCAAGGCATTCTCTATCTTTGGATTTTGTTGGATAATATAAGTTAACTAAAATAATACAATGGGTAAAAACCATACACTGTTAAGAATTTCTTAGCTTTTTTATTGCTACAAAATTTCTTTTTTTCACTATGGAAAGAAAAATACAGTTTTATTTTAGAAAAGTGTTTAGATATAGATAAGAAAGACAATACATTAACCATAATCCTACTATCATGATATGGACATTATGCATATAAGCATATATATTTTTAATAAATATGCATTTATATTGACCATACTGTTTTTGACTATGGTTTTAATTTTGTTTGCAATCTGTAATCATCTATTTATTAATATTTTTATGAGTCAAGAGTATTCCATTAAGTGAATGTACCAAAATTTACTAATTCAAGTCATCACTGTTATTAGTTGCTTTTGGTGATAAACAATTTTAATCAATCTTCGTTGAACAATGTATAGCTTTGCCACATGTCACATCATGTACTGAAAGGAAAATGAAACCATACACAGTAGAATTTTGTGTTAATTATTATTATTATAAATTATTACAAATTATTATTCGTAATTTAGACATTTGATAAGTCTCAATTACTCCTCAAAAATGTACCACTTTTGCAATCAGTTTATGAGATGTCTGTCTTTCTATGTGCTTGCCAACACTGAATATGTAAGTATTTTTTCATATTTTCTAATTTGACAAGTTAAAATAGTATCCAATTGTATATATATTTTTATGTCTTTGGTACTAATGAAGTTCACCATTTTTTATGCCTTGCCCAAGTATGTTTTGGGTGTGTGTGTGTGTGTGTGTGTGTCCTGTTTGTGCCCTTGGCTTGGTTTGAAGTGTGCAGTCAGAAGATAATAGATGTTTATTAAATATTTATTGTGATATTTGTATGTAGACAGGTTTGAGAGAAAAAAGCTGGAAGTTAAAAAATTAATTGAAGTAATTGAACAGGTTTTATTGGCATAAACCAGACAGAAAGAATAGTTTTGCAAAGGAAGGATCTTTCATGTGTCTCCTAGACCTCAAGCTCCAGGAAGGTAGAAAGGAGGCTATTTTGTTCAACACTGTAGCCCTAGTACCTAGCAAAGCACATTCCACCTGTGCTGTATTCTCAAGCACATCAGAATTGCCTGGAGATTTGTTAAAACACAGGAATCTTGGGCTCATTCCAGAGTTTCTGATTTAGTAGGTCTGGGGTAGACCCTAAGAATTTACATTTTAAACAAATTCCCAGGTGATGCTGATGCTACAGATGTGGGAACCTCACTTTGAGGACCACTTAGTCAAGATCTGGTTCTTGAAATTGGCAGCACAGTGGAATTACTTGGAGGCAGTGTTGAAACATACTGATACCCAGGCCCTGTTTCATTCAATGAAATCAGAATCTTGATGGTGGACATGGTTGTATTTTATAAAGCACTGCAAGGGTGGGCCGCCAACTCTTGGGAAACAGCCATCTATACTAGGCAGATAACTTTAAACACAGTTCCAGGGAATATTTCATGCTCCAAAATATAGTTTCTTCATAACTTTTTCACCTGTTACCTTTTTGGATATGTGCTCACCTGACTGTACTTTTGTTACACTTTTTCCTCAAATGTAATTATTTCCTCTGCCAGAATTACAGTCCTTTACATTCTAGTGTTTTTATTTATTAATATTATTTTTTTGGCTGACAGTTTCTTATTTGGCAAGTTGATAGTCTGACTTTCCTAGCTATGTGTTTTATAAGAGGAGCAAGCAGGCTTTGGCATGATTTTTCCAGTTTGGAAAAATATTGCTGTCTTCATCATTTTGTGGGGAAAATTTCAGGAATGATAAATTATTCTTAAATAATTGTTATATATCAAAATATTTTCTGGAGGTTTTATCAACTTTTCCTCAGCACTTAAGTGTTAAAAGGAAATGGATTTAAGGCATATGCTTACTATAAAGAACTGCACTATCATTTCAAGATAAGTTGGGACTGGTTTATGAAGGACACATTTAAATATCTTATTGGCTATTCATGTATTGATTTATTGAATTGACATATATGAGTATTTGTTATATAAAATAGTCTGTTGGAAGTCCTTCATTATGCATTGTACAAATGTGATTGAAGCAATTGTTAATTATGTTATACTTGTTCTCTTTGAAAAGACATTTGTGAGAAATTAGTTTGCAGTCTTTTATGAGCACATGATGTAATTTTAGTGAAGAATCAGTTTGTTTTTGTGTTTTCATAAGGCTCTCATGATTATTACTAATTATGTTTTCTTCCTCAGATTGGCTCATAGAAAGCTTAGAACCAAATTTTTCATATGTTGTTAGTAAGTCTGTGAAATTTCTATAATGCCTTTTGTGATCTACTTTTATCCTTGATTCCATTTAGTGCCTCAACTCTTTTCTCTTGGTATTATCTTTATTTATATATAAATATATATATATTTGTGTGAGTGTATCTTTTAGTTTATTATATTGTACTGTATTTCATGTGTTTTTGAGAATAAGATGAGTTTTAAGTAAACAATAAAATTAAATTTTAAAAGTATAAGCATTATTAATGATCTCATTAGAAATATACAAGTTCTGTGAACTTTGTTTTAATTGAAATAATTATTTACTTATAATTGTTTTCACTTTATGAACTAATTTTCTCATTCACTGTAAAATAATTTAAAACAGTTAATTCTATAATCATAAGATTAAAAGAGGGAGTATATATAGATTGGGTTTTCTTTAGGTAACTAAAAAAATATTTAGACATTTTATTAGTGGCACGACGGTAAGAGTAGTGCAGTTTGTGGAATAATAAAGTTTGGGGTAAGAGTATAGATCATCATGGCTATTTTTAAGACTTTTCTTTATATATATAGTTACACTTTTATAAGAATGTAGTGGCTGCATACCCTGCCTCATAAATGTATAAACTATATTTATAGCATTATTTGTATGCCCTATGAAATATTACTTTCGAAGGCATGTTAAAATGCAATTTTATAGCTATTTTGCATACAAGATATGAGAAATATTTTATGCAAGTAACAGGGGATGCAAAGATCTTTAAATTTAGATTTAAAAAACTGTGTCATTTAAAACAAAGTAAGGACCCGAAAGAAGATACAAAGTATTCTATGGGAACTGAAGAGAGAGGCTTCATATCCAGAAAGGGAAAAAAAAGGCATTATGGGAAAGGTAATTTTTGAGTTGGCTGTAAAGCATTGCATAGAATTTCATCAAGCAAAGCGATGGCTACACCCAACATGGGGAAATAATAAATGATTATTTTATTATATAAAATCTTAGTGTCTAAGAGCAACGGCTTGGGAGTTGTCTTCATCCATTTTGTGTTGCTCTAAAGGAATACCTGAGACTGAATAATATATAAATGAAACAGGTTTATTTAGCTCATGGTCTGCAGACTGCACAAGAAGCATGGTGCCCGCATCTGCTCAGTTTCTGGTGAGGAATTTGTGCTACATCAAAACATAGCAGAAAAGGCCAAAGGGGAAATGGGCACATGGGAAGAAGGACCAAGCCTAAGAGGCTTCCTTGCTTCATAACGACCCACTAATCCCTTCCCCACAAGAATCAATCCAGTCTCCTGAGAGTGGGAACTCACTACTGCTAGAAAAGCACAAGCCATTCATAGATAATCAGCGCCCATGACCCAAATATCTCCTGCTTCACCTCCCAGCACTGCCACACTGGAGATCAAATTTCAACATGATATTTGGTTGGAATGGGACAAAGGATGTGATTTACAAGAGAACTGATAGGAAAGACAAGAAGGATAGGAAAGGAAACAAGGGGAAACAAAGGGAAAGAAAGGGAAGGGAAGCAAGGGGAAAAGGGAAAGGGAAATCTAAGGGGAACATGAGAGAGAGACTATAGGAAATTATTAATGTCAAATGGGTAACGTCACGACTGAACTGTAAGAGAAGAGAATGACTGTGGAACCTTGGAGAGTGCCTTTTTAAAAAGCATCAGCAGGACTAGAAAAGAGACACAAGAATGTGTCTTGGCGGAGAGGTACTCAGCACCTTAAGATGCTCAGCAGCATGAGCGGGTGAGAAGTTAAGAGTGCAGAGTTTTGGCTCACAGGAATAGAAAACCTCAAAGCACAACTTTAATCAGTTCACTCCATATTTAAGATGTTTTGCTGGGAGACATTTTGCTGGCCAGAAGTCAACGTTTATCTTCTTAGGGAGGAGATAACATCATCCAGACCCTCAAATCCTTTGCGTAGTTCCAGGCACAATGTATCAGAGAAAAAAAAATCAAAACTAGAATTCTATACCTGGTAAAAATATTCTTCAAAACTTAAGACAAAGACTTTTTCAAACAAATGAAACCAAGAAAATTTGTCATCAGCAGGCTTCTACAAAAGAGATGTCTACAACCGGAAGGAAAACAATCCTAGATAGAAATAAGGAATGCATTATTGAATGAAAAGCTGACAGATAAATGTACAAATTAATTTAAATGAATATAGGCTATATGAAATAATATTGATGGACTTATAATATGTAAATCATATATTGATTAAGATACACAAAATTAATAGTATAAAAAGCAGTATAAGGGGGCGCTTCACATGATAAGTGCCTTGGGAATTCTGCTTCTCCATAAAAACTGGCAAAAGCTATCAAATACAAAGTAAAGGGGTGGAGAAAGATCTATCAAATAGAAAACAATAGGGAGCAAGTGTTGCTAGTCTAATTTCAGACAAAACAGATTTTGAGCCAGCAATGATCAAAAAGGACAAAGAAGCGCATTAGATAATAAAGGGTACAACTCAACAAGAATCTATAACTATCCTAATTATATATGCATCCAATACTGGAGCACCTGAATTCATAAAACAAATTCTTAGAGACCTACAAATAGACTTATACACAGTATACACAAATCAATAAATGTGATGTGATTCAGCATATAAACAGAACTAAAACCAAAACCTACATGATTATCTCAATAGATGCAGAAAAGGCTTTCCATAAAATTCAACATCTCTTCATGTTAAACCCTCAACAAACTAGGCACTGAAGGAACATACCTCAAAATAACAAAAGTCATCTATGGCAGACGCACAGACAACATAATGAGAGGACAAAAGCTGGAAGCATTCCTCCTGAGAACCAGAACAAGACAAGGATGCCCACTCTCGTCACTCCTATTCAACATAGCTCTGGAGCCTTAGCCAGGGCAATCAATCAAGAGAAACAAATAAAAAAGGCATCTGAATAAGAAGAGAGGAAGCCATACTATCCTCTTTACAAACAATGTGATTCTATAACTGGAAAACCCCGGAGGTTCTGCCCAGAGGCTCCTGGATTGAAGAAACAATTTTAGCAAAATTTCAGGATACAAAATCAATGTACAAAAGTCAGTAACATTTCTATATGCCAACAACATCCAAGCTGAGAGTCAAATCAAGGACACAGTTCCATTCACAACAGCCACAAAATGAACAAGATACCTAGGGATGCAGCTCACCAGGCAGGTGAAAGATCTTTATAACAAGAATTACGAAACACTTCTGAAATAAAACAGAGATGACACAAGCAAACGGAAAAGAAATTCATGCTCATGGATAGGAAGAATCAATGTTAAAATGGCTATACTGCCCAAAGCAATTATAGATTTAATGCTATTTCTATCAAATTGTCAATGACATTTTTCACAGAATTCAAAAAACTATTCTAAAATTAATATGCAATCAAAAAAGAGCCTGAATAGCAAGAGCAATCCTAAGCAAAAATAAAGCAGGAGAAATCATACTACCCAATAAACTATATTACAAAGCTACAGTAACTAAAATAGAATAGTGCTGTGACAAAAATAGACACATAGACCAATAGAAGAGGTTAAAGAACCCAGAAATAAAGCTGCACACCTCCAACCACCTGATCTTTGACAAAATTGACAATAAAAAGCAATGGGGAAAGGACTCCCCTAGTCAATAAACAATGCTGGGATAACTGGCTAGATATACACAGAAGATTGAAACTGGACCCCTTCCTTACTCCATATTCAAAAACCAACTCAATGTGGATTAAAACACTTAAATGTAAAACCTAAAACTATAGAATCCTTAGAAGAAATCCTAGGAAATACTATTCTGGACATATACCCTGGCAAAGATTTCATAAGCAGATGCCAAAGCAATGGTAACAAAAACAAAAATTGACAAGTGAGACCTAATTAAACTAAAGACCTTATGCACAGCAAAAGAAGCTATCAACAGAGTAAACAGAAAATCTATAGAATGGGAGAAAATATTTGCAAACTCTGCATTGGCAAAGGCCTAACTTCCAGAATCTATAAGGAACTTAAAGAAATCAATCAAACACACAAAACCAAATAATCCCGTTAGAAAATGTGCAAAGGACATGAGCAGACACTTGTCAAAGTTACACATATAGGAGCCCAACCAGCAGATGAAGAAATGTTCATCACTAATCATTAGAGAATTGCAAATCAAAATCACAGTGAGATACCATCTCAAACCTGTCAAAATGGCTATTACTAAAAAGTCAAAAATTAACACAGGCTGACGAGGTTAGGGAGAAAAGTAAATGCTTATACCCTGCTGGTGGCAATGTAAATCTGTTCAGCTGTTGTGGAAAGCAGTGTGGTGATTTCTCAAAGAGCTCAAAGCAGAATTACCATTCAATCCAGCAATCCCATTATTGAGTATATATCCAAAGCAATATAAATCATTCTACCATAAAGACACATGCACTACATGTGTGTTCATGGCAGCGCTGTTCACAATAACAAAGACATGGAATCAACCTAAATTCCCATCAACAGCAGACAGGATAGAGAAAATGTACATATATACAGCATAGAACACTATGCAGCCATAGAGAAGAATGAGATCATGCCCTTTGCAGTGACAGGGTTGAAGCTGGAGGTCATCATCTTAAGGAAATTAACACAGGAACAGAAAAGCAAATACCATATATTCTTCTTCAGAAGTGGGAACTAAACATTGAGTACACATGGACACAAAGAAGGGAACAACAGTCACCGGGACCTTCTTGAGGGTGGAGGTGGGAGGAGGGCGAGGATTGAAATGCTACCTGTTGGGTACTATGCTCATTATCTGATGACAAAATAATTTGTACATCAAACCTCAGTGACACAGAATTTACCCATTTAACAAACCTGCCCATGGACCCATTGAACCTAAAATAAAACTTAAAAGGAAAAAAAGAATATGTAAATAACTCTTATAACTAAGCCATAAAAAGACAGATAACCTACTTTAAAATAGGAAAAGCATTTGAGTAGGTGTTTTTCCAAAGAAGTTATACAAACAGCTAAAAGTCAAATAAAAGAAGCTAAACATCAGTAGTCAATAGAAAATTCAAATCAAAACCAGAGTGAGATACCACTTCACATCCACTAGGATGGCAATAAGAATGAGGAGAATTAGACAATAACAGGTGTTGATGAGAATGTGCAGAAATTCAAGTCCTCATACTTGCTAATGGTAATGTAAAATTATACAGGCAACTGTGAACATTGTCTGGCAGTTTCTTAAAAAGTCAAACAGAATTATATGACTCAGCAGTTTCTCAACCAATTGAATGAGTCACCATATGATTCATAGGTGTATACCTGAAGAAGTGAAAACATATACCCACAAAAAACCTTATACATGAGTATTCATAACAGCATTATTCATAATAGATAAAATGTGGCCACTACTCAGTGACCATCATCCTATGAATGGACAAACAAAAATGTTATATCCGTATAAGGAAATGCTATTCAGCTGTAAAATGGAATGACGGACCGTTGTGTGCTACAACATGGATGAACGTTGAGAACATTATACTAAGTGAAAGAAGCCAAATGCAAGGCCACATGTATTTTTATTGCATTGATATGAAATTTCCAGATTGGGCAAATCTACAGAAAGAGAAAGTCTTCCAAAGGATAGAGAAAGGTAGAATGGATAAGGGGTTACTTTTTGGGATGATCAAAATGTCCTGGAATTTAATAGAGATTGACAACTCTGAATATACTAAAATTCTCTACGTTGTATACTTCAAAAATTACGTGAAGTGTGAACTTTATGGTATGTGAATTACAACTCAAGGCTAATTTTTTGAAAAATAAAAAGGAGGTAAATATTCAATAGGTGAGGGATGAATTTTTTAAAACTATTAAAGATATGTTTAATTTCTCAGATGATGTGAAAATTATAAGATTTTTTAACTAACAACTAATAAAATAGAAAAGTAAAGCAAAAATATCTTTAACTCAGGTTAGTTAGGGAAGGAAATGAAAGAAGAAATGCAAAAAGTTGAAACAAAGAGTATAAAATGGTAAGGTGGTAAAATTGAACCCTAAAGTAACAAAAGATTAAATATGTTTGGGCTAAATACGCAATTGAAAGACAAAGATAGACTGGATGAAAAGTTATACATACACACCCCAAAACCCAACTGTATGGTACTTAAAAAATAAACATGTTAAATAAAAGGATTCAACAAGTTTGAAAATAGTATGGTAAAAAGATAATATACTATCCCAAGACCAAAACAAGCAAGCTGGCATAACAATATAAATATCTGAGAAAATAGACATTAGGTCAAAATTACTACAGAGACAACAATTCATTTTATAATGATAAATAAAATAGTCATTACACCAAGTACGATAGTACCAAGTTTGGGTATCTCTTATAACTTATTTAATATATAAATAAATATTTGGCAGTGATCAGAAATCACAGATATAAATAGAAAAACTCACAATGGAAATGGGAGATGTTAAGACACTTTGCAGAGGAGAAAATGAATAGACAAAACAGTAAATACATAGAATTAATGCGATTAGCAAACTTGAACTAATGCATATCTCTTGTACTCTATACTGGTGCTATCCAATGGAAATATAAGGCAAGCCATGTGTGTAATTTTAAATTTTCTAGTAGCCACAACATACAAAAACAAAAATAAATGGGTGAGATGATTTCTATAATACATTAACTTATTTTCATTAATATATACAAATCTTTTCAACGTGTAATCAATATAAAGTTGAGATATTTATGTCTTTTTTAAAATAATCTTCAAAATCCAGTGTGAATATTACATACTACATTGTAATTTAAAAACTAAAATCCCATTGGAATTAGTTGTTCTCTGGACTTCCTAAAATTTACATTTGAAAAAGTGGATTCATATACTCAGGTTATTTCAAATATACTTAAAAGTCCAGTACCAAAAATGAAAAACTGGGTCATCTTTTTAGAAGAATCATTTTTACCTTGAAACAAAAGCATACATGATCCTTAATTTTAAGTTTCAACTTGACTGGGTTAAGGGATACTGGGGTAGCTGGTCAAGTGTTATGTCTGGGTATGTGAGGGTGTTTCTGGAAGAGAATGATATTTGAATCATTGGACTAAAAAGGGAAGATCTGTCCTCACCAAGTGAGCAGGCACCATTCAATTCGTTGAGGAACAAAAAGACAGCGGGAAGGTGAATTTGGCTTGAACGAGCAGCCACTCAGATTCCCTGGCCTGTGGACTTGGACTAAATTATGCCATCAGCTTCTCATGTTCTCCAGGTTACACATGGCATATCGTGGAACTTCTCAGCCTCCATAATTATGTGAGCCGATTCCCACAATGTCTGTCTGTCTATCCCTCATCTCTCTCTCTCTCTCTGCCTCTCTGTATCATCTATCTATTAGTCATCATCATCATCTATCTATATCCTATTGTTACTGTTTCTCTGGAGATTCTTGACTAATATAGCATATCCGTTTCAAAATTACATTTGTACAAGTCAAATATATTCCTTAGCGCTTGCATTAAGTTGGTATTATTGACATCAATTTCAAAGGGATACATCATAAATTGAAAAGCAACTCTAAATTTATCAATGTCAACAAAACATTCTTCACATTTTTCTTGTAGATCTGCAGCCAATTACATAATCTTATCAATTGGATTTAAATTAACCTGCATGTTGATTTGTGTTTGAAAAATGTTTCATCATTATTATTGATTTGTATTATGAAAAGTTTCCATTTCAAAATAGATTTTAGTACTTGTCACCTTTGTGACCAAGGTCATAAATAAACTTTTCTTTATTTCTTGAAGCTTCATATTTAGCTTGTTCATCACATTGTGATATCAGTGAGAAACTACAAATCACAATGCCTGTTTTGTTTTCACTGATTATTGTCTATTTGGCAAGCATTCCTTTTTGTCAAGAAAAGCTTGAATTGGAGTTAATAGTACAGTAGATGTTCATAGAACCCTTCCCTCATCAACCAAAAAGTATTGACAAAGCATCCCCAATCATTGAAGTCATTGCCTTCTGCTTCTTTCAGTGGTTCCTTGAGCTGGAGTTGATTCATAGCATTACTATGCAAATCCTGAATGACTTTATCAACTGAATCCATGAAACTTTCTATTAGGTTGGTGCAAAAGTAATTGTGGTTTTTGCCAGTATACGGAGTCTTGTTCAGAAAGCAAATCGTATCTATTTTAACATATCACGCAGTGGAATGAGGCAATAAGAAAAACATCGATCTTTTGTTTAAAAATTCCAAGGAATCTAATCGCAATCTAACATTAATGTGCAGTACTACTTTTGTTGTAATAGAAAATACTTTTCAAAAATCTAGCTGAAATTCTTCTTTGAAAATTATACGAATAAGAAATATGCCCCAAGTAAGGTTTTCAGGTTATGACTTGACAACTTTTTTTTGTTTCTGTGCATTTTGATGTAATTTGAGACCTAATATGCTCTAATACGAGGCACTGGGGAGTTATTCTTAGAGCATAAATCAATATAAAGCTAAATAAAAGTATTGCAAGTTTTCAATTTTGAACCAATTTGTTGTTGTGAGAAAGATCTTATATTCTATGGGCAATTATTGGGCAGCTTGACTGATGATCTTTCATTTCTTTTCCAGCCTATGTCTTCATTTCATTGTTTCTGTATTTACCCTGTTAGAGGATAATACCTACTTCTTAAAGTAACTTAATCCTGATATTATCTGTCCTCAGCATACTGCTGGGTAAATTAGCATTCAACCAATTCTATATACAGAGAGTATAGTATATATATACACTATACTATATATTATATATATACCATATATATACTATCTATTATGTATATACTATATATACTATATATTATGTATATACTATATACTATACTATATATTATATAATATATATAATATATATTATATATACTATATACTATATTATATATTATATGTACTATGTAAACTATACTATATATTATATATACTATATATACTATGCTATATATTATATATACTATATATTATATATTATACTATATATTATATATACTATACTATATATTATATAGTATACAATTTATTATACTATACTATATATACTATATACTATATATACTATATACTAGATAGTATATATATACTATCTAGTATATATAGTATAGTATATATATACTATATATACACACATACTATACAGAATTGGTTGAATGCTAATTTACATATATAGTATATATATACACACACATACTATATATACTATACTATATATACTATACTATAGTATAGTATATATACTATATATACCGTATATAGTATATATAGTGTCGTATATATACCGTATATAGTATATATAGTGTCGTATATATACCATATATAGTATATATAGTGTCGTATATATACCGTGTATAGTATATATAGTGTCGTATATGTACCGTGTATAGTATATATAGTGTCGTATATGTACCGTGTATAGTATATATAGTGTCGTATATGTACCGTGTATAGTATATATAGTGTCGTATATGTACTGTGTATAGTATATATAGTGTCGTATATATACTGTGTATAGTATATATATAGTATGGTAGTATATATATACCTTATATATACTGTATATATACTTAATTGTGTATATATATATGTACTTAAATGAAGGTATATTAGTCTGTTCTCATGCTGCTGATAAAGACATACCCAGGACTCAGTAATTTATACATAAAAGAGGTTTAATTGACTCACAGTTCAGCATGGCTTGAGAGGCCTCAGGAAACTTACAATCATGGCAGAAGGGGAAGCAAACGTTTCCTTTTCACATGGCAGCAAGGAGAAGTGCCAAGCAAAAGGGGGAAATGCCCCTTATAAAGCCACTGGATCTCGTGAGATCTCATTCACTATCAAGAGAACAGTAGCATGGGAGTAACTGTCCCCATGATTCAGTCGCCTCCCACCAGGTCCCTCCCAAAGCATGTGGGGATTATGGGAACTACAATTCAAGATGAGATATTGGTGGGGATACAGCCAAAACATATCAGAAGGAGAACCATCAAATCATGCTGAACAGAGGGTATATGACAGAGACCTTGGAATTGTAAGGGAACAACATTTTAAAAATTATGCTTCATGGGGTCTGCAGTTATGACATAAACAATATTATTGTTTCTTTAGTTGGGATGCATTGCACATTTATTGTGCAAAAGTGGGTACCCATTATATACTTTGGTCGGACATAACTATTCTCAGCTACAGAAACATCAAACTCTCTCACCTGAACCGAAGGATTTTCATCTGTATTCCATTAATTTGTCTAAGGGGGATACTTGATGAATTAGTTCTGCCTGACACTACTGCCTTATCTGTACCATATGCTGTGATTCTGCTGGGACCCGATTTCTATGAGCCCTCAACTGTCAGGAGGCAGTCTCTCCATCAGATTTGGAAGAGCTGAGCTGAATACAGCTAGTAATTCTAACTTTTTAGCTTGAGAGATGTGAAAAATTGAGAATTTGACACATTCAGTCATAAAATACAGTTTCAGTGATATATAACTCGGGGTGTGGATGAGATATTATTAGTTCAAAGGATGATCATTTCTTAAGGAAACAGACTGAGGCACATTTTTACTTGCAAACTGCATGGCATGGCTCTTTGAGGCAAATTGGTAGTGAAAACAACATGCTGAAGCTAATGCCAGAGACATAGTTATCCTCCATAGTTTTATAGTGGGGAGGAAAAATATTGGATAGAGAATTGGGTTTGGAATGAAAAAAATTGAATTAGAATTTTGCTACCTACCAACCTACTGCTGACCTTACGCTAAAGTTGTTTCTTTCTTGAATATTTAATTAAATTTAATTTTTAATTGACAAATAATAATTGCACATATTTATGGGGTACATGGTAATGCTTTTATCTTTTTTAAAAATTTTGTGGGTCCATAGTAGGTGTATATATTTATGAGTTACATATGATGTTTTGATACAGGCATGAAATGAGAAATCACGTCATAGAGAATGGGGTATCCATTCCTTCAAGAATTTATCCTTTGTGTTAAAAACAGTCCAATTACATTCTTTTAGTTATTTTAAAATGTACAATTAAGTTATTATCGGCTGTAGTCACCCCAGTGTGCTGTCAAGTAGTAGGTATTATTGTTTCTTTCTATTTTTTTTATACTCATTAACTATCCCTACATTTCGTCTAGACTCCCACTACCTTTTCCAGCCTCTGGTAACACCATCCTTCTATTCTGCATGTCTGTGTGTTCAATTGTTTTGATTTTATATGGTGTGTAATGATCAGAACAGGGTAATTAGGGTGTTCACCATCTCAAGCATTTATCACGGCTTTGCATTGGGAACATTCAATATCCTCCTCCTATGTAAACTATATGGTATATTATTGTTATCTATACTCATTCTACAGTGATGTAAAATACTAGGACCTTCTTTATATCCAGAAATAGAAAAAGAAGTAATAGACTAGGGAAAGATTAGCAGAAGTGGACAGAGTGAGGAGGATAAACTTGGCCTAGGGGGAGTCTTAAGCTTAGTCTAGTCCAGATAATAGTTTCTGCAGGCTGTTTTGTTCTTCTTCTAAGAAGATATCATAATTCTCTATTTTATACTTACTTGAGATGCTACCATATCTTGTCCCCAGGTAGAGTTTAGCATGACTTTACAGAGTCAGACAGTATACCTGGCCGTACTTGTCCTACTGTAATTACTGGCTTAAGAACACATTTCTCCTATTACGTTGTGAGCCCATTAGAGAAAAAGTGTGCCTTTCCTATCTCAGGCCCTCCGAGCTTTAGTCCAGTGTTTGGAACAAAAGAGCTTGCCTAATGTAAATTTCCAAATTCAGAGAAAGAAATGCAGTTTAATCTTAAAAACAATTATTTTGTACTAAGAATGTAATAAATCAAAGACAGCTGAACTGACAAGGTAGTATGAGAGACTAATATTATATTGAGTATGTTTCTGTTTGTTTTAGATTTTTTAAAAATGAAGATATATTTTGTAATCTGGGTTTTGGGCTTGTATTGCAAATCAGAATTAAGAAAAACAAATGCATTGGAAATTACAGGATTTAAGGTTTGTTCTATTACCATAAATCTAAATTTAACATTGTTCTGTCATTGTTAAATGAACCAGAGTTTCTTTTGTTTTTATGCTTGCCTGTTGAATTCAGTGGAGATTGATTCTCACAGAGGTGATTCATGGAGCATAATTTTTTTTAGTGAAGAGATGGCAACCAGAGTAGAAACTTGGGCTCCTTCAATGTGGTGCCTTTACCTTTTATTCAGAGTCTTTAAATAACAACACTCACCAATATTTAAGAATTTATAGTATCTCTTTTATTTTCTCTGCTTACTTCATTTTTATAAAAGATGGGAGGGAATTTTTACCAAAATATATCTACTTACCAGACCATATTTATACCTCTGTAACTGAAATTTATTATATATAGGGTTCTCTACAGTATATCTGTAGTAGTGTTATGGGCCACTATTGTTAAAAGGTACTATACTGAACAGGCACCGTTCCAGGTGCTGGGGGAAATGACAAAAAAGTATTTGCTTAGGTGAGATAGTCAAAGACAGATTGAAAGTAAGTAGAGACTGTGTGAACAGGTGAAAAGGTGGTGTTGGTGTTTAATACTGAGAAATGTATGGCATGAACTAGCTGGTTAAAAGTATTCTAAAAAGAGTTGACAGATTTTGTAAAAACAGGGATCAATGAAGAGTCCTAGGTTAACTGTACAGTGGTGTTAAGTAACCTGTGACAGAATGGTAGGCTCCATGGGGAAAAATGAGATAGGTAAAGGCTAGGATGGGGGCTATATTAATTAGGGCCCAGGCGGGAAACAGCTGGCACAAAGAATTTAATCAGAGACTTTACTGCAAAGACTACAAAGGATTGAGTGATGCACTGAAAGACCAGCAACACCTAAATCCAAAGGGACAAGGGAAGGAGACCAGATTGCCCCATCCAAAAGAAAAGGCTTTAAAAGAGACCAGCTCCCACAGTGAGTCAGGGAGGAAAGGGATTGGAGTTGTGGAAATAAATACTGTGAACTCTTTCCTCTCACTTTCCAATCTCTTGTCAGTGTCTCACACAGGCCAAATCTAATTCAAGGTCAGAAGGCTAATGGAACCTTTACTGAGTAAAGGTCCTCACAGTTGGGACTATTTTGCAAAGAGTAGGGTCATAAAAGAGACAGGAAATGAAGGAAAGGATGTGCTTAGATTTGCTTTTTTACTGACGTTATTGGTAACAGAGACTGATTTAAGTAGGGCATGATTTTATGCACGGGAGCCGCTTCATTGTTGAAATCTTCTGAGTAAGTGATGAATAAGGAGCAGTGTTAGAAAGGACAATTGAAGGGATAACTATATTTAAACGCTGAATTGTGATACATTCGTGGTGTAAAGGCAATACAGTATGATGATTAATTGGAAATGCATGTTGAAAAACAAAAAGCAGCTAGATAAAGAGGACCATTAGCTTTAAACTTGCAAACCTGGATTGTCAGAAGTCCAATTAGGAATGTTCTGTGAACACAGGAGATAATCCATCTTAGTTTTGAATTCTTTAGTTTAAGAAAACCAGAAGACATCCAAATAGCTGTTCTTCATCTCCTAAATTTGGTCTTAAGATCTTTCATTGTGTGGCCCAGGCTTCTTGTTTTGGACTCAGTCAGCAGCCTACTTCTCTTATCCATGCAATTAATCCATCTGTTCTTCCAATATGACTCTATTTTGTGCCACTGTGCCTTCTTTAAACGATCTCGTAATCATCTTTCCAAACTGAGTTCAAGATCAACTTTCCTTGATGGCTCTCTCTAGTCTGATCCCACAGTCCCTTCTCCGGGTATTATCTATATTACAGTGCATGTCCCAGAATACCATCAGTATTAATTCACTTAACTCCCGCATGAGTCTGTAAGCATCTCAAGGGAAACGACACTGACTAATTTACTTTTTAGTCAACATCTATTTTAGTGCTCGTCTCAGATTAGGCCATGAGAAGAGAAGGATACCTTGAATGATAAAAAGAAAAAGTTGAAACACATAATATTTGGACAAAAGAGAATAGTTCATTTATGTTAAGGAGATGCTGAAGACAAGGGCAAAAGAGATACAGTAACAATAATAACATCTTTCAGATAAAATTAGTTCTCTTTTCTAAGCTGCTTAGATACAGTTTTAATACTTCTGTGGATTATTCCCTTATGAGTTATATTCTTAACTCATGCACAGATATGTTACTTTTATTAACCTTGGTTATATTTTTCATGAGTATGTAGGAAGTTTCTTATAAAAAAAGAAGAAAGACACAGAAAAATGTCTTGAGCTAGAATTTGGGGAAATTCCTAGGTTTAAAATTACATTTTCTCATATCTACTTTAAAGTAAATATCTAAATTTCCTGCTGGTGTTTACCTTTTATTCCCTTTTAAATTAAATACAAAATTTTCTAACTGAACATTTGCTAGGATGTGATGAACTGAAAGTATTCTAGTGACTTAATGAGAAAATAAAGATTTTTAAAAGTAAACAATTTTTACTTAATATATTTTTTAAAATTAAGTCATTAAGTTCAAGATTTTAATATTTTTATCAATAAAATTCTAAAATATGTAAATTATGAACAATCTATATGTCTGTCAATATAATCAACACTGTTTCAAAGCTCAGGGTAGAAATGAAATGCAATGATATAATTTTATGAAGTGGGAAAATATGCTCTTAAATTATCCTGAATTTGACTCATTTGGATTAGACCCTTTCACTATTCATGTTCAAATCAAAGTTTCCTTTCAACAGTATTTAAACTGTTAAAGCTTGTAAAATTTCCATCTCACTGCTAGCATTGCCTTAGAATAAATTCCAGTTGTGACATTTTGTACTCATGTTATTATAAAAACAGTGATAGGCCACAAAACACTGTGGTGATATTTGTTTACCTTCTGAAATACTTCCAGCATTATCTGCATCTTTTATATATTCAGAATTTAGATTGGCCTTTCCATCACAGGCCATGATGCTATAAATAACCGATAAAGGCAGTTGCTGATGAGCAAAGCTGTAGGGCAATGTAAAGGTCAAAGAATGATAATTCATGATCATCTTAACAAAGTACATATACCACGCATTAAAATACAGAAACTGAACTCTGGTGGCAAAACACAGGAAAGAAATGGCACCACGTGAATTCCCTCATGTAAATGTGACTGTGAGGAGGTTAAGAACTAGAACAAACTTATCTGTTTTTCCATTGAATGTTTATATCCAAGGGTCGGCTTTTTCTGTATAACACATTACAGTGGATAGTTTTAGACCTTATAGCTATTTTTATGCTCTATTAATTAACCTCTGGTTCAGTACAGGGCACAGAGGAATGTGTATATATATATATATATATATATGTGTATATGTGTGTGTGTGTGTGTGTGAGAGAGAGAGAGAGTTTGTGTATATGTATATGTATAATGGCACAGAGGTATAAGGGATTAAAATTTGAAAGCATCGTAGTCTTTAACATCTAGAAAAGTGTTTCAATATGTGAATACACATATATAGGAGCCATTTAAATTTTAAACACAAGATACTTTTCCAGTTTTTTTCAGACCCTGATAATATTGAAGGGTGTAAGAATGAGACTGGAAAACTTTGACTCATTTGCAAAATGGTGATCATCATTTACATCTGACATGCCTACCACCCCATCAACTACTTCTACACTGCTTTCCTCCTATAGACTCTTAGGCTGTATGCTGATTTTAGATGACATTAGATGAAATTTAGATGACATTTAGATGAAATTAGATTTTAAATTTCCTTTCAGAAGAATCTGGGAAATGCTACTGCAGGTGAATTAGTGTTAGACATGAGTAGAAATGAAGGGCAGGGAAACGATCAGTGGCTGAAAAGGAAAGCCACAGTGATCATTGTAAAAACGGAACATCTTCCAAGAGGTCAAGAATTTAGTATGCAGCAAAACAAACTAGAGATTTTGTTAGATTACTGAACCCTCACTCCAGAGTTACTGATTCAGCAGGTGTAAGATAGGTCCCAAGAAATGGCATTTTAACAAGCAACATGGTGATGCTGATGTTGCCAAATCAGGTGCTACACTAAGAGAACATGTGGTTTACAGTCTATAACATTTGCACATCAATCTGTTTCAAATCCTGGCTTCAGCACTCACCATGCAAATTACCACTGGCAGATTATTTAATTTTAGTTAACTCATCTAGGAAATAGTCATGATTATAATCCTTACTTCTCAGATTTATTGAAAATATTAAACAATTTTCAATAAATATTATTAATATTAAATGAATATTGAAAATATTAAGCAATTAACTTAAAAGCCGCCTCCTAACTTAAAGACTGATCTAAAATCTGTAATTTAAAATTTTCATACATCTCAGATGTGAATGTTTTTTGGCCTAAAATCTAATTTACAAAGATGATATTTACTTTTGTGAGACTTTTTTCCCCAAAATAGCTAGAATAGAATAATTTGAATGTTTCTAGTATGAAGGAAAGACAAAAATTTAGGGTAATTGATATCCCAAGTACCCCAATTTGATCTTTACAAATTATATGAAGGTATTAAATGATCACACATACCTCAAACTATGTACATCTATTATGAATCAATTAAAATGTTTTATAAAGGTCTAATACGTATTTACTGAGACTCTTAGAGTCCTATTTGAAATTAGGTCTTAAATAAAATATATTACATCATGTAATTTCTTAGACTTTTTTATTCATGTGTTTATACTTGCCCCATAAAGTGTTATTCTCCAGTGAATGTCATACAATATTGAAACAGGAACTGTGGTTGCCCCTAATGAGAATAGTTGGCTCTGATACCTTTGTTATTGAATTTTTTAGTTGGTTAAACCCTAGGTGGTTCTGTAACATTTCAACAAATGTTGTCATCACATCATTTTTATTTCATGAGACTAGGAAAGAGAAATCTAAAAGCACTCTGATAAAATTGTAAGTGTATTTTCAAAATCAAGATGCCTTACTTCATAAAGGAGAATTTCATATAGAAAAGCAAGAATCCTCTGTCAGTTTTATTTAGCAACAGATTCAGCGAATATTTGCTGAGTGCCACTTGAGTTCAAGCTACTTTTCAAGAGATTCTAGATATTATAATAAAGAAGTTAAAAATGTGTGCATTGGTATGTATAACTTATAACTTACTGGGCATCCAGCTATGTAGTCAATGAATTGATATCTATAATGTTGAATGCATTGAAAAAATTACATGGAAGGTGCTGTAGAATTCTTAGGTGAATCAAGAAATCTTGAGTTTAGAAACTTGAGTCTAGGAATCTAAAAAGGCTTGAAAATGAGGGTACATTTGAAATATACTGTGGAAGATTAGTAAGTATTATGGAAGGAGGACCAATACCAGAAGTTATAAGTGTGCCCAGAAGAAAGACCAACATAAAGGAGGCATAGAGAAATGAAAAGGCATGATGTATTTAAGTAATTGCATGAATCCATGAAATGGGCATATCTGGGTGTCCGAATACTTATGTAAATTTGAAGGTAGAAATTGCAATAGAAAGTTATTCCTCAGAGCCTAACAGGCTGAATCTTTATCTGTAGAACAGCAGTGAGCAAACTATAGCCTGTAAGCAAAATCCAATCTGATGCCTGTTTTTGTAAATATGGTTTTATTGGAACATAGCCATACCACTCTTTTAAGTAGTATCTATGGCTGCTTTCTTACTGCAAAGGTAGAGTTGAATAGTTATAACAGAGACCATATAGCCTTCAAAGTCTGAAATATTTTCTATCTAGATCTTTACCAAAAAAATTTCTGACCCCAGTTGTAGACCAGCGCAACGTGAAGTGCCGGTCTCTTGATCGTTAGGTATAAGTGTTATATATGACCAGATAAAGAGGTTTCATAGAATGCAAATTAATTCACTTTATCAAGAAAATCTTGCTATGGAAAAAATAATTCCAGCTGATCTGGAATGTGTGCTTAGTAAATTTATATAATTTATATAAATATATAAATATAATTTATATAAATATGTAAATATAATTTATATAAATATGTAAATATAATTTATAGAAATATGTAAATATAATTTATAGAAATATGTAAATATAATTTATAGAAATATGTAAATATAATTTATAGAAATATGTAAATATAATTTATATAAATATATAAATATAATTTATAGAAATATAATTTATATAAATATATAAATATAATTTATAGAAATATAATTTATATAAATATATAAATATAATTTATAGAAATATAATTTATATAAATATATAAATATAATTTATAGAAATATAATTTATATAAATATATAAATATAATTTATAGAAATATAATTTATATAAATATATAAATATAATTTATAGAAATATAATTTATATAAATATATAAATATAATTTATAGAAATATAATTTATATAAATATATGACTATAATTTATATAAATATATAACTATAATTTATATAAATATATAACTATAATTTATATAAATATATAACTATAATTTATATAAATATATAAAAATATAAATATTATTTATATAAATATATAAATTATAAATTATAAATATTTATATAAATTATAAATATTTATATAAATTATAAATATTATTTATATAAATATATAAATATTATTTATATGACTATAGTTATATATTATATATAATTATATATAATACATATTTAATTATATATTGCATATTATAATGTTATATAATATATATCTAATATGTAATATATATGTATATAATATGTATGTATTATATAATTTATATAATTTACTAGGCACACAGTCCATATTAGCTGAAATTTTTAAATTATTTTATTATTTATAATGTTTACTTATAAATAGTTATATTATTTTACTAAAATGGTACAATTTTACTAAAATAGTATAGTAGTATACTGTTATACTAAATTCATATACCTATGAATTTACTCAGACATCCACATATACCCATTTCATGGGTTCATGCCTTTACTTAAATAAATCATGCACTTTTATTTCTCTGTGCCTCCTTTATATTGGTACTATTAAACTCCTTAGTAAATTTACGTAATTTACTAAGGAAACTCCTTAGTAAATTTAAGTAATTTACTAAGGAAACTCCTTAGTAAATTTACATAATTTACTAAGGACAATTGCTCTGCAGGTAAATATACATGTTCTATTAACACTGTGTATTTACTTCCAGAGCAATGCCATACAGTTTAGTTAAAGACTTCACCTTGAATCAGTAAAGATGTAGTGAACATTTCTATGCAGGATATTAGGATCAGATGTGTATTTTGGAAAGGACCAATAAAGTCAAAAACAAGACTTTCTTGGTTTCTTCTGGAATACTGCAGCAGAGTGGAGAGGGCATGTGTGGAGCTATGGGGTTGGCCAGAGCTGTTTCCAAACTCTGGGGAGTCAGCCAGTAAGAAGACTGGGCAAACAATACAGAATGTTCTTTTTTTCATTAATTTACATTCTAAAATCCCACACCAGAACTCTGATTGGTCTGACATGTTTACGAAGCCCACTTACTCCAGCAGTTGGTGGGTCAGGGACTTTTATCATCACACAATGGGGTTGGTAGTGGGAATGGGGAGCAGTTCCGCACAACGAGGAATGATCTGCTGCAGATACCAGGGTGATGCTGTGGAAACTATGAGAAGTCTAGTGCTGTCACCTATTTGTGGGATCTGGACATAAAACAGTTGAACTCATGGAGATACAGAATAGAATGGTGGTTATCAGAGTCTGAGAAGGGTAGTATGGGGAGCAAGGCAGAGGTGGGGATAGTTAATGGGTACAAAAAAATAGAATGATTAAGACTTACTATTTGCTAGCACACTGGGAGACTATAGTCAATAATTTAATTGTGCACCTTAAAATAACTAAAGGAATATGATTAGATTGTAACAGAAAGGATAAATGCTTGAGGAGATAGATACCAATTTTTCCATGATGTAATTGTTACGCATGCATGCCTGTACCAAAATATCTCATGTGCCCGTAAAGATACACACACCTACTAGATACACACAAAAATCAAAACTTAAAAAATTTTTTTAAAGAATGCTAGTACTATTGAACACTGGCTTGGCTCATTTGGGCCCCTGTTTCTAAATGCTATAAACTGGGTTGCTTATAAACAACAAACATATATTTCTCACAGTTCTGAAGGCTAATAAGGCTATGATCAAGGCACTGACATATTTGCTGAGAGGTTTCTTATTTGCAGATAGAGACTTCTAGCTGTGTTTTCCCATGGTGGAAAAGCTGAGATAGTTCTAGGGTCTCTTTTCTAAGGAAAGTAATCCCAATCATGACAGTTTTACCCTAAAAACCCAACCACCTCCCAGTGGCCCCACTCCTTAATAACATTACCTTGGAGAGTAGGATTTCAACATACAAATTTTGGGGTATGGACTCTAAACATTCAGACCATAGCAAGTTTTTTGTATTTTCTGCAGCTCAAAGTATTGTTCACAACAGCTTTTTTGGTGGATTATGTCTTGTCAGATATGCTAAAACAGCCTAAGTTAGCACAGTGAATCAAAGGACAAATTCCATCTGATTCTGGAGAATATGTCTCTCATACTGTGTGTGTCCAGGCCCACAGATTGATGGGCCTTACTGAAAAATATCTTGATTTGCTCAAGAATGGGTATTTTTTCCTACTTATTGAATTAGAGTAACTACTCAGGAGATTCTCAACAAAGGAAAACATAGTCAGTGTTTTAATTACTTAATCTGTGTGATAGTAAGAGTTTAGAAACTGATTATCCTGTAAGACCTAGGCAACTTTTGTGAAAATAGCATGGACTATAAATCAGATCTCTTTTTATGTAATGACTTTTAAAATGACTTGTACATTATCACCTTGGATCCTTACTTTTGCAACACCTGAAAGTAAAGCACGATTTTCTTAAACCTTTACTACTGTGTGGTTTATGATATGTTTTATTAGAAAAAGATATGCTTCTATAAAATGTCCTACTTCCCGCTCTGTATGAGAAAAGATAATTTGAAGGTTGGTAGAGGGATGCTGATATTTTATGAGTGACAGTACTGTTAGCTGTGGTCATTACTGGTGTACTCATTCCAGGAGAGGAGCTGATTTCCTCTGCAGGTTTATGCTTGAATAATCTCATTGCAGACATAGGCAAGTGTTTATGCAATTCTTCATTTTTCCATTAGGAATCATACATACATCATGTGCCCCTAATTAATACCTATAAGACTGGCAACCAAATGATATATTGCTACATTGTACTGTTCACAGTTTGATAAAAACACAAATGCAGTTTTGTTGTTTGCATTTTTCAAATTGATCTCCTGACATATCTCCTTTTTTTTTTCTTTTCCCTGCAGGTGAAAGGGGTATTTCAGAGATATATAATATTAGAGAATTGTTTCCATAGTTTATTTTATATTTGTCCTTATGATTGCATTTTCTAGAATTCTGTTGGATTGGGGAAATTATACCTTGGTTACCTTAGGGTTTTTTTTTTTTATTATTTGTGTAGTTTCTGGGAAATTAATACAGGGACCTCTACTTGAAGAACCAGTGACATATGCTTTTATCATTTCTAGAATTGTGACCTCTAGTCACGTAATTTCTCCATGGTCTCCAGATCTATTAGCCTTGTTCTGTCTCTTCTTACGTTTTATTTTTTCCCCAGCCTGAAACAGTGATCAACTTTTTATGTATAATTTCATCTGAGTCTACAATTTCTGTCATACCCTTATATTTTTATTACACATGTGCTTTATTAATTTTAAATTCACTTGGTTATTTTGCCTATTTTGTAGGTCTGCTAGACCCTGTGTAGACAACAAAATGGATATGGTCCCTAAGTAAAGCAATAAATATATCAACATTTTGGGATATTTTATCCAGTTCTAGCTGGCAGGTATATAGTTAAATAAATATGTACATATAATAACGTACACAGACATACACACACACACACACACACACACACACACAGTTGAACATCTGGCGTAGTGCATGCTACAAAGAAAGCAATCAATAAATGTTATATTCATTTAACGTGATACAAATGTTCTCTCCCATTGACTGGTTGGCCTTTACATCATATTGATTTTTATGATAAACAGAAATCCTTATTTTGAATGCAGTCTCTTTTTTTCAGTATTTTCCTTTACGGTTAGTGATTTTTATATACTGTTGAAAACAAACTTTCTTACTCCCACATCAGGAAGGTATTGTTATGTTATATAAGCTTTCATTCCAAGTATAATCTACCTGGAATTTATTATTTTCGAATGCTGTGAAATACCAGTCAAGGTTCATTTTTCCCCTCATGGCTAACTAACTTATTCAGTTCATTTATAAAAAACGTTATTCTTTCCATCAGTACTTCACAAGAGCCACACTTTTCATAAATCAGATGTCCAAATACATGTGGATCTGTTTCAGGACTATTTCTTATAGTTCTCTGGATTGTTTGTTTGTTCTTGTTCTAATTCCACTCTGTCTTAATGTTTTAGCCCATTCAGGCTGCTGTAACAAAAAATCTCATAAACAAAGAGACTTATAAATAAAACACATTTATTTATCACAGTTCTGGAGGCTTGGATCATGGTGCTGGCGGAATTGGTATCTGGTGAGGGCCTATTTCCTCCTTCATGGATGGTGCCTGCTTGCTGTTTCCTCACGCGGTAGAAGGGACTTGCTAGCTCTCTGGGGTCTCCTTTGTAAGAGCACTAATCTCATTAAGGTCACTTAATCGACTCCCCAAAGGCCCTGCGTAATAAGATGATCACCTTTGTATTTAGGAGTTCAACATGTGAATTTGGGGGGAACACAAATGTTCACACCATAGCACCTGATAACTATACCTTTATAATGAGTCTTTTTTTTTAAACTTAAAGCATTTATTGCATTTAAAACATTTAATGCATTTGTAGACAAAAACATCTTAATTTTTAGAGTTATTTTCTTTTGTAGCCACATATGAAATGGAATTGGTAAACTGCTAACCTGAGTTTTATAAAACTGCTTTTTTTTTTTTTTTTTTTTTTCAAATTTTACTTTAGGTTCTGGGATATATGTGCTGAATGTGCAGGTTTGTTACATAGGTATACATGTGCCATGGTGGTTAGCTGCACCTATCAACCCATCCTCTAGGTTTTAAGCCCTGCATGCATTAGGTGTTTGTCGTGATGCTCTCCCTCCCCTTACCCCTACCCCGCGACAGGCCCCAGTGTGTGATGTTCCCCTTCCTGTGTCCATGTGTTCTCATTGTTCAGCTCCCACTTATAAGGGAGAACATGCAGCGTTTGGTTTTCTGTTCCTGTGTTACTTTGCTGAGGATGATGGTTTCCACCTTCATCCATGTCCCTGCAAAGGACATGAACTCATTCTTTTTTATGGCTGCACAGTATTCCATGGTGTATATGTGCCAAATTTTCTTTATCCAGTCTATCATTGATGGGAATTTGGGTTGGTTCCAAATCTTTGCTATTATAAGTAGTGCTGCAATAAACATACATGTGCATGTGTCTTTATAGTAGAATGATTTATATTCCTTTGGGTAAATACCCAGTAATGGGATTGCTGGGTCAAATGGTATTTCTAGTTCTAGATCCTTGAGGAATTGCTACACTGTCTTCTACAATGGTTGAACTAATTTAATTTACACTCCTACCAACAATGTAAAAGCATTCCTATTTCTCCACATCCTCTCCAGCATCTGTTGTTTCCTGTCTTTTTAATTATCACCATTTTAACTGGCATGAGATGGTATCTCATTGTGGTTTTGATTTGCATTTCGCTAATGACCTGTGATGATGAGCTTTTTTTCAAGTTTGTTGGCTGCATAAATGTCTTCTTTTGAGAAGTGTCTATTCATATCCTGTGCCTACTTTTTGATGGGGTTGTTTTTTTTCTTATAAATTTCTGTAAGTTCCTTGTAGCTTCTGGATATTAGAACTTTGTCAGATGGTTATATTGCAAAAATTTTCTCCCATTCTGTAGGTTGCCTGTTCACTCTGATAGTTTCTTTTGCTGACCAGAAGCTCTTTAGTTTAATTAGATCCCATTTGTCTATTTTGGCTTTAGTTGCAGTTGCTTTTGGTGTTCTTGTCATGAAGTCTTTGCCCATGCTTGTGTCCTGAAGGAGTCTTGATGTCTGATTAAGTCCTGCACCTCTGTTCTTCTCATGATAAAATTGGCTATTCCTGTCTTCTTGTATTTCATTAACATTAGTTTTCCAATTTCTGAAAAATAAAGTCTGTTGGGAATGTGTTGGGATTTCATTTAATCTTTAAATCAATTTGTTTGATAATTCACACATGCAGTGTTGTACTGGAGTCAGATTGTATTGGCTCAGGAAGGATGATGGGAATCATCTCTTCCCAACTCCCATTCCTACTGGGAGACAGAGATAAGTTATGTAGAGATTTGTAAGCCATATTAAATATATATTTTTAATTATTTCAAAACTATGTTTTAATTGATGCATGATAGATGTAAATAGCTCCAGAGTACATGTGATAATTTAATACATTTAACTAAATCATAAAGATCTAATCAGCATACCTGGGATATTCATCACCTTAAATATTTGTCTTTTCTTTTTGTTAGAAACATCTGAACTATTCCCTTCTAGCCACTTAGAAGTGTACAGTAGATTATTGTAAACTATAGTCACTCTACTGATTTATCAAACACTAGATCTTTTTCTTCCATTAAACTGTATGTTTGCACCCATTAATCAACTTCACTTTTTTCCTTCTTGCTCCCACTTCCTGGTATCCTATGTCAATTAAAAAGACTTTAGCAGGTTTTAAGAAGTGGATTGGGGGACATGATTTAATCCAATCTCCATTAAAAAAATTATTCTAAGTGATGTGTGAAGAATGAATAGAGTGAATCAACGGTAGATGTGAAAGACCAATGAGGAGATTTATTATTCTAAGCAAGAGGTAGTAAAAATTTAATGAGGTGGTAGCATTAAAATTGGAGAGGCATGGACAATTCAAGCTATATCTCATAAGTAGAACTCAATTTCCTGGTGGACATTTAGATGTAGCACATTGAAATAATTTTCAATGAAGTATAAAATTATAATAATCCTGACATATGCTTAAAGAAAGATTTACAGGTTAAATAAATCATATACATATAGATATGTGCATGCAGTTTTTTCTTGACTGTTGCCTCTATGTATCTGGATGTATAAGTATATACATCTTTGTTCTGCGTATCCCTGTTATACTGGGATATTTAACGTATGATATATAAGAGAACTGGAAATGCTTTTTCATTGAGACATAATTCAGATAAATATAAATGATAATTCTGCGTCTTAAAAATTAACTCATAACTCTGTGGTTTGCATGACACTACTTATTTCATTAGGAAGAATGAATGATATATATATAACCACAAATTACAACTACCATTTTTTAAATATATAAATGGGCCAGGTACTGTGTTAGATATTACACATATTTTATTTATGATTCTTATTAACACCATACATGGAACTGTCTCATTTTCTGAAATGAAGAAACTAAGATGTTTAGAGAAGTTAAATAATCTGCCTTAAATTGACCATCTAGTAAATGAGGAGGCCTGAGGCCAAACCCTGCTGTGTCTTTTGCAGACAATTATATTCGTAGAAACTTGGACAGCCACTGGCAAGACCTGCAAGACTGAGCACTCAGTAAATACATGGTGACTGAATGACTACTTCCACCTCTCTTTCCATCTGTTTGCTCTTCATAATTCCCCCAAAATGATAAAAAATTTCAAAATAAAATAGCTTTAATAAGAAGCAAATTTAAACTCTGTAGTTTCTAGCATCTATATTTAATTTAGAAAGTGGCAAGAAATCAAGTTAATCCAAAACAGAGTGCCAGAATACCCAAACTGTGCGGATCACTTCTTTATGCTTCAAAAAGCTGTATATAACCTAGAATGACTTTAATGTTTTATTCTCTTTTTTGAATTAATTGTCCAAGTAGGGTCATAAATTCTTTCTTTTATGGCAAAAAAAAATCGTATTTAATTGTTTCCATCATTATTTTTCCTTTTTAATTTAAGCCTAGGAAAGAAAGGATATTCTTTAAAATTATATACAAGGTTACTAAAATGTGTTGAAGTGAAACTGAGCTAAATCAATATAGAGAGAGTAAATTTGAATGGAAACCCTTTGAGACTGATAAGTTGAAGCCCAGACCGGTTTCCTGTTTTTCATCTCCTACTTATTCATGTTTTCCCCTTCCTTTTATGTTTCTTCTAAAGGCAATCAGTGCTTTAGGGCCTCATTTTATTCACATTAAAATGAGCTCTAAAAAGCTGATTAGAGTATTAGTGGTATTATTGCAAAAATATCAACCAAGTTATTACAGATTTGGTAGTTTCAGTCTTTGTCATAATTTTATACACATTGTACCAATTGATATCATTACAAGGACTATGGGTTCAAAATCAAAGTGGCAGAAGTATTATTTCTGATGAAGATAATGGACCATAATTAAGCTATATAACACATTATACTTTTAGGAAAAAATATAAAGCAATAAAATATGGTTAGTGACAAACTGTACTATGTTTCACAGTATTCTTCTTCTTTTTGAGACGGAGTTTCGCTCTAGTTGCCCAGACGGGAGTGCAATGGCGCGATCTCAGCTCACTGCAACCTGCACTTCCTGGGTTCAAGTGATTCTCCTGCCTCAGCCTCCTGAATAGCTGGGATTACAGGCACACGCCACCACTCCCAGCTTATTTTTTCGTATTTTTAGTAGAGACGGTGTTTCATCATGGTAGCCAGGCTGGTCTCGAACTCCTGACTGCAGGTGATCCACCTGCCTCAGCCTCCCAAATTCCTGGGATTACAGGCGTGAGCCACCGTGCCCGGCCTCTTATTCCTTTTATAATATGATAAATTCCTTTTCCAGAAATACCACTGATGGCTGGTACCTGTATGCTGACAGTTCTAATGGGAAATTTGGTGACACGGCTGACATTCTCACTCCTATCATTTCACTCACGGGACCAAAATGTACCTTGGTGTTCTGGACACATATGAATGGGGCCACCGTTGGTTCTCTCCAGGTACTGCTTAGGCAATCACATTTTCTGAATTTTCTCTCTAAAAGTTCACAGTGCATAATTTGGTATCATTAAAATATATTCTGTTAATAAGTGAAAATGGACAATTACCAACACTTCACTAGATTTATAGTGGTATATGGAGTAAAAGCTTTAGCAGAATTGGACATGAATAGCTAATAAGTAATTTTTATTCTATTTAATTATGAATGTTGTCTCTATGCTGAGGTTACAGCTTCTGGGTAATACTATTTTACACTTGAAACATATGCAGGTATCAGTATCAGTGTTCTGAGTATAACCACAATCAAATAAATATATACACTTGGGTAATATCTGGATGTGTCTTCTTGTTGCCTTTGATGGTAGTAGTGCTACATTCTGTAATAGTCTTTTTCAAAATGTTTCTCTGTTAAAAACGTTAAGCTGTTTTAAACTCATAAATGTTTCACGAACAGCACAGACAACTCCAATATACACTTCACTCAGAGATCTTATTTTTTTTTTAAAAAAAAACGAGTTGTCCTGGTAATGTCCCCTATAGAAAAAAAAAATCCAGTATAGGATAATATATTATACCAAGTTATTTCTTTCTACTGTCTTTCAAACAGGAATAATTCCTTATCTTCCCTAGGTTTTTATAAACTTGATATTTTAAAAGCCCATAGCCAAGTCATTTTGTAAAATGTCTCTTAGTTAAATTTTATTGTGTTAAGCCCTTTTTTCCTATTATATAACCAATATGGTGTTATTTCTATTGCATCCTGTTAGTGATCCTTATAAGCCCCATTACTTTTGTTTTTTTTTGTTATCAATAAATATTTTGCCAAGAGATATTTTAAGGATGTGTAAAAT
Source organism: Homo sapiens (assembly GCF_000001405.40). Taxonomy (NCBI): domain Eukaryota; kingdom Metazoa; phylum Chordata; class Mammalia; order Primates; family Hominidae; genus Homo; species Homo sapiens. The sequence continues at coordinate 19,324,958 of NC_000010.11, forward strand.
ATTTATTTCATCTCCATTTTACCCACAAATTTTTGCCTTCAGTAGTTGCTTTTTTTTTTTTTTTTTTTTGCTTGAACTAATTTTACAATGCTGATTGCCTAATTGTGATGTTCTAACTCAATTATTCTGTCCACATTTGTAGGTTTGATTCATGTTGGAAAAAAAAAATTCTCATCCCTCTATTTGTTTGCTCATTTACTGTTTTATATCAATGTGGACTCATAAGTTTCTATTTTAGTCAATGTATTATAATCTATTAGTATTATTATTTATTTGCTCCTCAAACTGTCTCAGATTTGGAAATAAGAGTCCCTCTTAACGAACCTCCATGTCTCTCTAAAAAGGCCCATTATTCTTTGAGCATATTCTTTCTATTTGGCCAAGATGTTACAAACTTCACCTTATTTTTATCCTGTCCTGTCTCTGGAATTAACTATTCTTTCAGAAAGTCCTGTATTTTTTTTTTTTTTCTGGGGCATCCAACATATACAGGCCAGAGAAGAGTTCTGGAATATTAATTCAGATTCCCAAGTCCTGTCTTCCCATACTGTATATGCCCTGGTGGAGAATAATGCATAAAGTTCGTGAGTAATATGCGTAGACACCTCAGTTATATTGAAGAAGCCAACTCAATTTTGGAGCATCTCTGTTTATTGTGTTTCATAGCTTATGTGTTTCTTTCCGGGAAGCCCTGTCTGAAATAAATCCACAAATTCCAGAATTGTATGTACTATGAGCAGTTTTAGAGTAGGGCTATCTTGCTGGAAGCAATCTATTGATAAGGACTCTCCCCCTTTTAAATACTATTAGCTTGCCAAGAAATCTCTAGCATATTTGCAACAAGATTAGACGTGAGTTTCCTGCTTTCTTTTTCCCCAGTAGAGAGATACAGACTGTGACTAACTGCTAGGTCATACGTTTTCCGAAAGGTTGATTGCAATATTAGTAGTAGGTGCTACCCTGACTCCTATTTTGTTTTATTCTAGGATTTTCCTGGCTATTGTTATTCATTTTTCTAAAGAAACTTGAGATAAACATAGTTTCTTTCAAAAAACATATTAAATTTCATATCAATTTTAGAATTTTTTTTATAATGTGAGACTTCGTTCTGAAAACAGTTAAAAAGTATATTTGTGTGTATACACGCATGGTTATGTTTAATAATCTAAAGACATCCAAATGGGCTTCTGGGTTGACGTTAAAACTTATTGTTGTAAATTGACTTTTTAAAAATGTTTTCAGGCAAAACAATTACTACAACTTACTGTAAGATTTTCGTCAGTAAAATGAGAATTATTTGCCTGGAATATTGTGGGGTTAAGATTGATGATGTGAAATATGCTTTCATTTTTTCAGTATAAAACTTGGTATTGGTAGATGAACTTTTTTAAAAGGATTAAAATTTTGTAAGTATGGAATTATCAAATGAATAAAATGATATCAATGCCTTATTTTTGTGCATGGATAAATAAAATAACATTAAATGTTGCATTAGTAAGTTTCTTGAACATATTTTTTCTCAGTGATTTGTATATAGTGTGGTATTAATATAAAGAAGACTCATTTGCTATACATTTTTTTCAATGCCTTTCAAAATTGATTTTTACTGATTGGTTAGAAATGATGTTTTCTTGACCTTGATAATGTTCCAAATTAATTTGAATTTTATAGACTGATCATTTCATGATAGTTTTGCTAGTAACACATTATTTTTTCTATGACTCTGGAAACTCCAATTATATTTTAAAAATGTGAATTTAATTAAAAAAACAGATAATGTAATCATTAAAATTCATCTTCACTTTTAAAAGTCAGGACTTTCACAAATCTTTTATCTGAATAATTGTTTGGTTGTATGAATTCTATTTTTAAAAAGTAATGTTGTGAAATCATTTAATACACTGTGTAAGTCAGTTATTTTAAAATCAGAAGTTGTTCCACTCTCCTTTGAGCCTTAGTTACTCTCTTCATGGCTCATTTTGTATCATTCTAAAAGAAGAGCCATAATAGTTTTCTGAGAGTAATCTGGATTCTGCTTTACATTGGGGGTACAGTACTGATGAGAATATGTTTGTTTCATGGCTGTTGGGCAGGAAGCTCTTACTGGCGCAGCATAAATAGATGCTCACTCATCTTACCCATCTGTGCGCTTACAATGAAATGAGCTGACATTGTAACATTACTGCCTCTCTGGAACCATCTAATGAGAAAGATCATTCTCAAAAGAGTGTTTTAGTAAGCAATTCCATACTTTCTCATTTGACCACATGAATATTATTTAATATATAAAACAGCAATTGTTACTGCTGCCAGATTTTTAAAAAGTTAATGTAGTTGAGTTCTTAATTAAATGGTGCCCAGATACCTTAGGACTTGACTGACAGATATTCATGCACATCTTTATTGTAGAAAGCTTGTGAGGTACGCTAGGGGCACAATGCTGTAGAAAACAAAGATATCTAATAAAAAATATCTTAGCTCTTCTCTCCAGGACTTCATGTTGATATTGCAACTAAAAAAAAAAAAATCACTGGAAGAATTCTACATGTTTGCAATTTCTCAAGATAAAATACTTCAGTGCCTTTTACTTGATTTATCTCTATAGGTGCTCATCAAGAAAGATAACGTTACTTCTAAATTGTGGGCTCAAACTGGACAGCAAGGTGCACAGTGGAAGAGAGCAGAAGTGTTTTTAGGCATTCGTTCACATACACAGGTGTGTAATACAGGTAGTTATGGGGTGAGTGAGTTCTGCTGATTTTTTTCATCCTCATTTATTTCCTTCTCTACTCACAGTCTTCTTGCCCCCATTCCCTTTTTGATGTGTTCTGTGGATGCGTGGACACCATGCTTAACACTCCATGGAGCATTTTACATAAGGGATTGACAACTTCAGAATGCTCTAATTTCTTCCAAGTAGATATTCGTACCTCTAGGAACATTTAATTTGAATAAAAACCCTCCTTCACTCCCCAGTCAGCCTCACACGTATAAGGAACATTTACCTCTGTTTTGCAAATATATTCTCAGAGCTTGTACAGCAATTAATTCTTTCAACCCTAATTTAAAAGATAGTCTTTGGAAAACATATTATATTATTAAACATTATTATAGGGAATAGATTCACCTAATTTAAAAATATTTTTGGGGGGCACAGTATTGTGTAATGCTGTATTTGTCTTCATGGAATTTGTGATAGTAGTAAGAGGATCAGACCTATACATATTAATAACTAAAGAAAAGTACTAGTACGAAGATGAAAATGTTTAAACTGGAAATAAGCATGTGCTGAAATGTTTGGCACAAAGCATATTTCTTATGGATTACCAAGAAAGCAAGACCTCCATTGGCTGTTGTTTTCTTGGGAATTTTCTCAGAAGATGAGGCTTAGCTCTGAAGATTTGTTAAAATTTGAATAAGCAGAGTGAGAACACAGAGCCATTTATGTACAACATTTTCTTCTTAGTCTTAACTGCCTGGGTCTTAATTCCATGAATTTAGAGCCGTTTATCTCCAGATAGAAGGGATAAAATTCTTGTTAAATATTGCATTTTCACTCTTCCATGTGCAGCTGGGGTAGCCAAGTTGGCTGTGAATGTTCAGATAAATACATCTACAATCATGTGCTTTCTCTGATAGATCAGCTCCTCTCAACTCCAGTGGGAGTATACAGGCTTCCATTGTATAAAAGCACTGAAAAGTGTTACAGCCAATTTCTTGGAATGATAGGTGTAGTAAATCCCATGTATCTTTTGCCTCTCTCTGGAATCCAGTTTTCTTATGAATCACTTTTAGATAATTTAGGATATGCATAAGAAGGAAGTTCAACCTGAAGCAGTAAAGACTGAATATCAGTTTCATAGCCTTGCGCAACATGAAACTTTTTATTAGAGGGATCCCAACTGTTCAGCCTCTCAGGTCTTTAAACTGAGGCGAGAAGAAATCTCAGCAAGAACATGTAGAAGATTCTACTCTGCCACACTTGGGCTTCCACCCCAGGAGATGAAGTCTTAACTAGTTCTGTGCATGTAAAATATTTGTATAGTAAAATCGTGTTTGAAGTAATATTAAGGGGAATTTCAGCACATACAATCAATTATTAATTTAGCCATTCTGAATTTCTAGTTTTTCACATATTGAGATTAAAAAAGAGTATACCCCTGATTTTTTTGACTCTTAAAAGTAAATATTAATGGCTTGTGAATATTTGCTGTTTTATGTGTGATTTCTTCCATATTAAGCACTTACTACGTGCAAAGCACATTGCTATGCACCATGCACGAGAGAGACAGTGGTTAGTTAGGCACACTCTTCGTGATTCTGCCATTTTTTACAAGATCGTTCTCTTTAGTCTCACAAAGAAGACTGCCTCTAGCCCTTGGGGAAACATATAAAATATTTTTAGAAATGGTATGCTGAAGCATCACTGGGAAGCTTGTATAATTTTATTTGGGACCCCCCCCCAATTTAAACAAAATATTTAATTACAATAATTTTTACTATTTGAGCAATTGCATATGTAGCAGTTACTGAGTGCTACATACTATTTATGAATTTTTAAAATATTTACTCATTTTGCTTTCACAATAACCTTATGAATTACATAGTATTATTATCTCCATATTATAAATTAGAATACAGAAATACCCAGATGTTAGGTCTTTTGTTCTAGTTATGTAACTACAAATGGCAGAGGCTGACTGTAGACAAGGTCAGGCCTTCCACCAGTCCACAGTGCAACTGCCATGCTACATTGTCTACCAAATTTTAGAAAATAATTAACCCTGACTATATTCTGTCTGAAGAAAGATACATTGTAGTTTCTCTCTTTTTTAATAACAGTTAATCACATTCGGTATTAAAGTCTAGGGAATCCCAACCAACCTTATATGAAGCATTGAGATATAAGTGATGATTTGATTATTTGAACAAGGCAAGTATCTGAGATTGTACCTATATGGCAGAAGATAAGCCAGTTAACAGTGCAACACTCATTGCATTATCTGATTTCTTATTCACAGAGCATTGCAGCATATGTTGAAATTTTAGACTATCCAGATAATAGAGTATCTTTTATATTTTGCATATCAATATTTTTCCATGGCTCAATTTCCCTTTTAAGAAAGTCATAGTCCTTATTATACTTTCTGGTTTCATCTCTTTTTAATCACTTTCAAGCTCTTCATCTATCTTACTAATATTTTTTTTCTTTCCAAGCTCACCTACTATGAAGAGCAGTCTATTCCTTTTACATGAAGTCAATATATGAACACAGTTATATTTTTTTTTTGATAATGTGAGAGGCATGATTTCAATTATTCCAACCTCTCATGTTAAGAGGAGAACACCTAGGTTCACACAATAGTATAAAGACTTACCGCATCTGAAGGAAAAAAAAAACTATAATTATTTCTTTTAAGAAAAATAATTGTCCAGAATTGGTCAAAATATATTTCTAAATATGGTAACAGTAAATATTTTGTACAAAATCACTAAAGTAAAACTGTCCTTGTTAACTCGCCTCCAATTGTTCTAAATTTATTTTGAAATATCTCAATATTTCTTATGTTAACATATACATACTTAGCTTACAGAAAAACTTAATAAAAAGACTGAATTCCTTTCTCTGAAAAATCCTAAACTACAGAATATGTGATGTTTTATGTACCTGTGAAACAACATTCATTTTTATTCCAAGCAATGGTATTGTTGATAAATTGAAGATGGAATTTGTAAAAGCATTAATGATTCCTGTTACTATTCTTCATTCTTCCTGATTCTACTGAAGTCCACACACGTGGGAAATCATTGTCAAACAATAGGACACATGAAGATTCTGCTCATCACATACATGAATCAAAAGCAAATCAAAATCATTTCAATTCCAAAGATGTGTACAATTTAAAAAAAAAAAACTCATGGTATTGAGGACTTATCTTTTAGCTTTCAAATAGTAGGAATGAAGAGATCTGATGAATGACAAGAATTGAGCAAAATAAAGAATCTACTTGTATCTTTTCACTCTTGGTACTTTATGTCATCTGATCTACTGCTTTCCTGTGCAGTGATGCTCTAAAACAGGAGTAGGTCTTGTTGGAGATCTGAGAGCTGGCAAAGGCAGTAGTGGATTGGTGTCTCCTGCAAATTTTCTAGACCCATATCCTAAAAATCTAGACATAAGCCAGTGGTGTTGCCACTCCCACATTCTTAGGTGTTGAGGATGACCTAGGTCTTAAATGGTCCTTAAATTTCCTGGGTCACTTTCAACATAGGGACATAAAAAACAAAAACAAAAACAAAAAAACAAACAACAAAAAACAGATTCACGATTGATGTGCTTGATACTTAGTGTTTGCCCAGGTTTTGAACTTCTTGATTGACAGTTTAACTGTAACTGGCTTTTTTTTTTAGATTGTCTTCAGAGCCAAACGTGGTATCAGTTACATAGGAGATGTAGCAGTGGATGATATTTCCTTCCAAGATTGCTCCCCTTTGCTTAGCCCAGAGAGAAAGTGTACTGATCATGAATTCATGTGTGCTAATAAGCACTGCATTGCCAAAGACAAGCTGTGTGATTTTGTGAATGATTGTGCTGATAATTCAGATGAGACTACTTTCATTTGCCGTAAGTAAAAGGGTTCTGTTTTCTTACTTTTGCCTTCAACTCCCACAGCCTTACTCAATATCTGTGTTTATTGTTGAAACATGCAGAGTGTGTGTATCTCAACACCAGGGGAAGGTAAGGTGATTTAACTTGACACATTCCCTCCTTTCTCTGAATAATTCATTTATAATCATAATTCATTTACAACCAATTGATGGCTGTGTGTGTGTATGTGTGTATTAATTGGAGATAAATTGGAAAACAGGTGTCTTCAAAGAAAAACAGAATGGAAACAAGTATTTTTCATATGAAAGTGGTTTTTTTGAGACGGAATCTCACTCTGTTGCAGGATGGAGTGCAGTGGCGTGATCTCGGTTCACTGCAAACTCCGCCTCCCAGGTTCAAGTGATTGTCCTGCCTCAGTCTCCCGAATAGCTGGGACTACAGGCGCCTGCCACCACGCCCAGCTATTTTTTGTATTTTTAGTAGAGGTGGGGTTTCACCATGTTGGCCAGGATGGTCTTGATCTCTGGACCTCATGATCTGCCTGCCTTGGCTGCCCAGAGTGCTGGGATTGCAGGCATGAGTTACTGTGCCTGGCCTGAAATAAATGTTGTTTTTTTTTTTTTGAAAAATGACAGGCAAAATTTTCATTAAAGACAATTCATGCAGGACTGGTGAGCCTGCAGCCTCTGATGCATTTCAGAGGATTGTCATTTCTCTGTGTATATTGTCAGATGTGATAGGTTGTTAAAAAAAATCAACACCCTGATAAATACCTGTATATAAAATAGACAAAGTGATCTCTCAAGGAGATACATATCAGCTGTGTGATATGGTTAAAGGAGATCAACTCATAATGAACACCATATATTAAAATATCCTTAGCTAAATGCACCATATGTACTCAATCTGCTAAGCCTGTAAGATTGTGCAACATAGTCCAATTGTTGCTTCATTTAACTGCAAGTGAGTTGTATATAAATTGTCAAAATGAAGGTTGACAAATTATGTCACCATTACCTTTAATAATTTCTGAGCTAGAATATTGCAGTTTGATATTATTTGCTTCTTGGAACCAAACCTGGAATATCATGAACAACTTCAGTATATAGAGCTTACATATATATAGAACTTTTAATGTTCAAAGCCTTTTTATTTATTAATCTTCATTTGAACTTCAGAAGTCTTGAGAGGTACATGGGAAAGATATTATTAGTGCAGTCAACAGATGAAGCTGTCAACAAGAGTGCCTTAGGTTTTGTCAAAGTTCATAAAACTTGTACTGACAGAGTTGGTCCTAGAACACAAGTATTTTATTTATTATTATACTTTAAGTTCTCGGGTACATGTGCACAACGTGCAGGTTTGTTACATAGGTATACACATGCCATGGTTGTTTGCTGCACCCATCAACATTAGGTGTTTCTCCTAATGCTATCCCTCCCCTAGCCCCCTACCCTCTGACAGGCCCTGGTGTATGATGTTCCCCTCCCTTTGTCCATGTGTTCTCATTAGAACTCAAGTATTTTGATTTATGATCCAATGTTTTGCCCAAGCTACCACACCACTTCTTTTTAAAAAAAAAAAATTATTTCAACTTTTATTTTAGAATCAGTGGTACATTTGCAGGTTTCTTGTATGTTGTGTGATGGGGAGATTTGGGGTATGGTTAGTCTTGTCAGCCAGATAGTGAGCATAGGACACAATAGATTTTTAGCCCTTTTCCTCCTCTCCTTCTCTTCACTCTAGTAGTCCCCAGCTCTTATTGTTCCCATGTTTATGTCCACATTTACCCATTGTTGAGCATCCACTTATAAGTGAGAATATGCAGTGTTTGGTTTTCTGTTCCTGCATTAATTCACTTAGAATTATGGCCTCCACCTGTGTCCATGTTGATGCAAAGGACTTGATTTCATTCTTTTTTATGACTGTGTATTATTCCGTGGTGTATATGTAACAGATTTTCTTTATTCAATCCACCATTGATGGGCACCTGGATCGATTCCATGTCTTTGCTATTGTGAATCGTGCTCCGATGAACATAGGAATGCGTGTATCTTTTTGGGAAAAAGATCTATTTTCCTTTGGTTATATATCCAATAATGGAATTGCTGGGTCAAATGGTAATTCTGCTTTGAGTTCTTTCAGAAGTCTTCAAACTCCTTTCCACAGTGGCTGAACTAATTTACATTCCCACCAGCAGTGTGTAAGCTTTGCCTTTTCTCGGTAACCTCGCCAACATCTGTTCTTTTTTGGCTTTTTAATAAAGGCATTTTGACTAGTGTAAGATGGTATCTCACTGTGGTTTTGATTTGCATTTCTCTGATGATTAGTGATACAGAGCATTTCTTTCATATGTTTGTTGCCCCTTGTTTGTCTTCTTTTGAAAAGTGTCTGTTCATGTCCTTTGCCCACTTTTTAATGGGGTTGTTTTTTGATTGCTGAATTGACTAAATTCTTTATGGATTCAGGAAAGTAGACCTTTGTTGTATGTATGCGTAGTCTGTGACTATTTTCTGCTGTCTTGTAGGTTGTCTGTTTACTCTGTTGGTAGGTTTTTTTTTTTTTTTTTTTTTTTCTGTGCAGAGCTCTTTAGTTTAATTAGGTCCCACTTCTCAAGTTTTGGTTTCATTTCAATTGCTTTTGATGATTTAGTCATAAATTCCTTGCCAAGGCTATTGTGAAAAATTCAGTTTCCTTGGTTTTCTTCTTGAATTTTTATAGTTTTAGGTCTTGCCTTTAAGTCTTTAATCTGTCCTGAGTTTATATTTGTGTATGATAAAAGGTAGAGTTCCAGCTTCATTCTCCTGCATATACCCTATCACTTTTGTGTATAACTGAATCTTAAAAAAAAAAACTTAATGTTTTTACCACCAAGAGATGACAAGTGTTTGAGAGATGATAAGTGTTAACTTTGGTTCGATCAGTACTATAATACATACGTATATGAAAACATTACACTGTACCCCATAAATATGATAATTACTGTATCAGTTGAAAACAAAACTTATTCTTTACAGTTATAGATATAGATGTCCTTTTAAAATCACTTGACTATATATTCCTTCAATTTTGGATTATTTATTATATCCATTATTATGTGAAAAAGGGAAAATACTTTGCTACTCTGGAATTCTGTATTTATTACTATTTATCTTTACCTTATGAATATTTTCTGCTATTAGTTATTTTTGTATCAAGTGCTTGTAGATTTTCTTCATTGTCATTTTCCCTTAAATATTACACAAATAAGGTTAACAGTTAAATAGAGCACATATAATGCTTTTGAATTTTATTTGTAATGTTTCCAGTGTATCTCTTTCCTAGAGATATAGTTTAGTGTAATTTTTCAGAATTCAAGGTATCATTTTATTTCTGGCTAAATATTTCTTGAACTCTTTGTATTTAGGCTCTAAAGTTGTGCGTATTTCTAGGAATTTCTCTCTGTATTAGGGAACGTATGCTGATTTACCAAGGGAATCGGAAACATATTAAAAACATACTGTCTTGTTAGTTCTTTTATTTCAAACCTAAAGGCAAAAGTAATCATGAACCTTTGGAGGATAAGTTGTATCAGAAGGTGCTTTTTGGTGAATGATTGCAAAACCTCTTGTTCTGTTTTTTTTTGTTTTTTTTTTTTTTTAGATTTGAGTGGGCATATTCATACCGGTAATATTAGAGCAACAAAGCTGAATTAGTTCCAAATAATGCATAGGAAAAGTAAAACTTTTTCAGCTCCTAGGACAAACAAACAAATCAGAATAAACCTGATTTTGGCGTTGGTTGCCATTACATGAGAATTATTTCTTTTAACATAGCATTGCTAATTTTTTTTTAAAAGTTCAACTGTGTTTCCAGTCTACTGGTCTTAAATGTTACGTTTTAGTTATAAAGTGGCTGGAATCTGCCATATGAATTATAAGTGGTGTTATTATATTTATATGCTATGAACTTTGATGCCCTAATTTGACCCAGAAGAAGAGAAAGACAATATTAAAAGAATCACCATAGAAAATGATTTCAAAAGTTTGGCTGGCAACCAACCATGTATTTGGGTTTAAATTCCACAGTCTCCTTTCTTTGTTTTGTTTTGAGAATTCTAAGTAAAGCTTGAACACATATCACAACTCTGAGAAGGCTTTGAAAATGTGATTAGGTAGAAATATACCATCTAGGAATAGCAGAAAGAATGAAAGAAATCAACTCTTTCTAAAGATATAAAACATTTCATGGAGAAAAAATTTTTTTTTATTATTATACTTTAAGTTCTGGGGTATATGTGCAGAACATGCAGATTTGTTACATAGATATACACGTGCCATGGTGGTTTGCTGCACCCATCAACCCGTCATCTACATTAGGCATTTCTCCTAATGCTGTCCCTCCCCTAGCCCCCCACCCGCCGACAGCCAATAACAGACAGAGAGCCAAATCATGAGTGAACTCCCATTCACAACTGCTACAAAGAGAATAAAATACTTAGAAATCCTTTGTAATATAAACATGTACATCCTGCTTTAATTATCTGTATATCAGTGTAGACTCTGAAAGCAAGAATCTATAAAAAAGTAATTTTAAAAAATAATCTGAATAACACTTCTACAATACAGGATGTAGTCAAAAGTGATTTGTGTATCTAGGAACTCTAAAATCTTATTTGAACATAATCATGCCATTGATACAGAGACTTCTATGGGAAACAACCATTTTATTAGCTTTCAAATACATTCTAATTAGCTTATTTACGGATGAGACACAATTCAGAGTATCTCAAGCATTCTCCAAATGTTTTAACTTTGTGCTGTGGTAAGGATGCAATAGAGTTGACCAACACAGTCAGTGATCTGCACCTAAGGGCATATGTAACACAGTTTCACAGCTTCAGATATGTATCATTTTCAAGCACACACAGAACATTTAGCAAAGAACAAAAAAGGGTTATAATTTTAAGTAGTAATTTTTGATGGGTTAAAGTCACCTAGGGTATACCTTCTGAATTAGGCTTGAGATCAATGACAAGACAATGTCTAGGAAACTCCTGTTGTTTAGGAAAAAGACACTTTTAATAGCCCATGCCCCCCTCCTAAATCACATTAAATTAAAAATATTTTGAAACAGAAATAACAAGAATATTGCATAACATAAACTGTGGGCATTTGCTAAGCCAGTAGATAGAGAAAAATGTTTTGCCTTAAAAAATTATATTAGAAACCAATTAGGTAATAGCACAAATTAATGAAATAGAACACAAATCTAAGATGGAGGACTTCAGAAGACCAATAAAATTTTCAAAACCCTGCCAAGAATAAAGAAAAATAAAGACAAAACTATTTAATTAATATATATTTATTGGGCAGTTGTTATATGGCAAGCAATTTTTGAGACACCTAGTATATATCATTAAATGAAACAGAAAAAATATCCTGTTCTTCTTGAGCATGTACTTCTTTGTTAAACAGAAAATATATATTGTGTGTGTATATGTATTACACAAAATATATTGTGTGTATATATTTGTGTATATATTATACACAAGTAAACTTACACATATGTATATGTAAGTAAACTTTCATATACATATGTGTGTATGTGTATATGTACATACTTAACATATGTGTATATAAGTAAGCTAGACAATTTGTTAAGTAATAGGTACATACTTACATATGTGTATGTAAAATTACACAGCTTGTTAAGAGGTGATCAGTGCTATGAGAAAAAGATAAAACATAAGAAATCATGAAATGGAAGGATGGCAAATTAAAATATTAAGTAGCACAGTAAGGACAGGCCTAGGTGAGAAGGTATTCAAGCAAATTTTTGAAGGAGGTCTGGGACCCGCTGCTTTCCTTTTTAAGCTTTTTAGTTATAGCCATCCTAGGGAGTATGAAGTGTAATCTCATGGTGGTTTTGATTTGTATTTTCCTAATGATGAATGATGTTGAACATCTTTTCTTGATCTTATTGGCCATTTGTGTATCTCTTTTTGGAGAAATGTCTATTGAAGTATTTTGTCCATTTTTTTACAGAATTGTTTATCTTTTGTTGAGTTACAGAAGTTCTTTAGAATTCTAAATCTTAAATCATTATCAAATATGCAATTTACAAATATTTATCATCATTTTGTAGGTTGTCTTTTTTCATGTTTATCTTTAATACCTTTAGTTTTATAGCAATTTTAGGTTTACAACAAACTGAGTAGAAAGTACAGTTATCAACTGGGTGCGGTGGTTCACGACTGTAATCCCAGCACTTTGGGAGGCCAAGGTGGGTGGATCATGAGGTCAGGAGATCAAGACCATCCTAGCCAACATTGTGAAACCCCATCTCCACTAAAAATACAAAAAATTAGCTGGGCGTGGTGACACACACTTGTAGTCCCAGCTACTCGGGAGGCTGGGGCAGGGGAATTGCTTGAACCCAGGAGGCAGAGGTTGTAGTGAGCCAAGATCACGCCACTGCACTCCAGCCTGGTGACAGAGCAAGATTCTGTCTCAAAAAAAAAAAAAAAGAAAGAAAGTACATATACTCCTTCTTTCCATATACCCATAGCCTTCCCCATACAAGAGTGGTACATTTTCTATAATCGATAAACCTACAATGACACATCATTAACACTCAAACTCCATAGTTTACATTAGGTCTCACTCTTGGTGCTGTATGTTCTGTGGGTTTAACAAATGTATAATAACATGTATCGACTACCATAGTATCCTTACAGAGTCGTTTCATTGCCCTAAAAATCCTCTATGCTCCGCTTGTTTATTCCTCTCTACCCTTAAACAGCTGGCAACTGATTTTGATCCTGTCTCCATAGTTTTGTCTTTTCCAGAATATCATGTATTTGGAATCATACAACATGTAGCCTTTTCAAATTTCCTTTTTTCAATTAATAATGGATGTGATAGCTCAATTATTTTTAAAGCTGGATGTCTCAGACTTTTGTAAAACCATAACAAAATAAACCATAAAAAATATCACCTCCCACCAGGTCCCTCCCTGACATGTGGGGATTACAATTTGAGAAGAGATTTGGGTGGGGACAAAGAGCCAAACCATATAATAGTAGGTGTATATATTTATGGGGTACATGAGATGTTTGAATACAGGCATGCAACGTAAAATAAGCATATCATGGAGAATGGGGTATCCATCTCCTCAAGCATTTATCCTTTGAATTACGAACAATTCAATTATACTCTTTAAGTTATTTTAAGTAAAACTAAGATATTATTGATTATAGTCACCCTGATGTGCTGTCAAACAGTATGTATTATTAATTATTTCTAACTATATGTATATATATATACACACACACACGCACATATATACATATATTATATATATAAAACTACATATATACTATATGCTAGTATATACATATACTAGTTATATACTATATATACAACTATGTGTATATATATAGTTAGATTGAATTAATAAGTCCTACTATTAGCACGTCAGGGTGACTATACACACACACACACACACATAAATACACATACACACACACACATCCCTAGGAGGATGCTTTTCCTGTCAAAAGTCTGAAAAACAGTCTGCAGCTCTACACTTAGTTTGGACTTTATCCCAAGGCCATGCCTTCATGGTGGAGCCCTGGGTTTGGTCTTTTCTGGAAGATGTATTTTAGCAGTCCACTATTTAAATGATCAATTAAAGTTTCTATTTCTGAGGTTTAAAATCTCAGAATTTCTGACCTCTCTCCTTGCCTTCTTAAATGTGTTTACTAGCTGCTCAGTTCTTTCCTGAGCTTATATTTTTCTCGTGGCATCTTATCAAATACGTCAAGTAGTAGCCAATTCACGTTTTCAACATTTTGCCCAAAAAGCTCCTCACACAAATTTGTAATATAGTTATATACATATTCAGCTTTCCACAATATCTTGGGCACCAGGTTTCTCAAATGTTTTGATGTTACATAACATAAATCTCAAAATTTTCAGTCTCCTATAACAGTTCCTTTATTGCTTGCCATCCTGGCCATTGCTACAAATTTTAGGTAATTTTTATGTCAGCACTCCATTACAAGTACTAACTTCTGCATAAGTCATCTGTATCATGATAATGCTGTGTAACAAACTACAGCAAAATTCATTGCCATTTAAAAACCATTTCTTATTTTCACCCTGTATGTGATGAGGTTCTGTGATGTGTTTTCTTAATTTTTAAATTTCTAAATTTTGTAGGTACATAGTATGTGTTATATTAGTTCATTCTCACGCTGCTATAAAGACATATTTGAGACTGGGTAATTTAAAAATAAAAGAGGTTTAACTGACTTACAGTTCCACATGGCTGGGGAGGCCTCAGGAAACTTACAATCACAGTGGAAGGTGTAGAGGAAGCAAGGAATGTCTTCCATGGAAGCAGAAGAGAGAGAACGAAGGAGTGAGTGCCATACTTTTAAACCATCAGATCTCCTGAGAACTCACTCACTGTCATAAGAACAGCATGAGGGAAACCGTCCTCATGATCTAATTACCTCCTACCAGGTCCCTCTCTGACACTTGGAGATTACAATTTGAGATGACATTTGGGTACGGACAAAGAGCCAAACCATTTCATAGTAGATGTCTATGTTTACGGGTTACATAAGATGTTTTGATACAGACATGCCTTGAGAAATAATCACATCACAGAGAATGGGATATCTACCCTCTCAAACATTTATCCCATGTGTTACAATCTATTTACACTCTTTTAGTTATTTTAAAATGTAAAATTAATTTATCACTGACTGTAGTCAATTTGATGTGCTAACTTTTTTTTTTTTGTACCCATTAACATCCCCACAAGGTTCTGTGATTCGGGTTGAGCTTAGCAGGGCTTACTTGTAAGGTGTGGGTGGAGTCCAGGCTTGAGCCAGCAGCTACCTAAGGCATGTTCTTTGAGCAAAAAATAGGAGGAAAAGGGCACAAATCCAGACATGAAAGTAAATGTTTATTCTCTGCCTGTGTCATGCGTCTAAATATTTCATTGGCCATACAAAGTCACAAATCCATTTCCAAAATCAGTGGGATAGAAAAGTGTACTCTGCATAGACTGGGAGGATGAGGGGAAAGAACATTTAATAAAAAAATCAACCAAACTCTTATACTCAATCACTTAATAGCAGTCTTTCACAATTATTACAGATATGTTTAAACACAGGTTATTTCCCACTGGATGAAATGTGCTTCAAAATATCATTACTTTTTATGTCATAGCAGTGCAAAATTTAGCATTGTTAAATAATTAAACTCACCTCTACTTAAATTTTGGTCTAGAGAGCATCAGCATCTTTGCCAGCATTGAGACCCCATCTGAGACTCACTAAATCATAAACTTCATGTTAGCAAGTTCCTCAGGTGATTCATATGTGTATTAAAATTTGAAAAGCATTGCTCTCAATAATACAAAAAATTTTACAAAGCTTTCTGGTGGAAGGGGGAGCTAGTATTGCACTCTTTAGTTCCTTGTCAACATAAGCAAATATTTATTGGTTTTAATATTCGATATTAATTTTTTAACCATTAGCAATAATTTGTGTTTTATTTTGTATATCTTTCTATATTTTTTACAACTTTCTCTCTGTTTTTATGAATTGAATAGACTAAAATATATTCAAGTCAACACATAGTTCATATGCATGTATTTGCCTACTAATATAACTTATTGAAGGTTTTGAGAAACTTGTAAAAATGAGCATTCATTCAGCAAGTGTTTATTATGATATGTCTGGCATTTTTTCTAGTTTCTTGGGATAATGAAGTGAACAATACATACACATGTCCTGTTGTGGAGTTTCCATTCTGACTGTTGGTGGTGGGTGGGACACAAATATCAAACAAAATAAGTAAAATAACACTATATGTATATATATATATGTGTATATATATGTATATATGTATATATATGTGTATATATATGTATATATGTATATATATGTGTGTATATATGTATATATATACACACATATATATACACACACACGTATTTTATACATACATGTATATAAAACACTCACACACACACAGATATTACAGTGATTAGTGTTCCAGCAAAAAGTAAGGAAAAGTAAAGCAAAATGCTTGCAGTCGTGGCTTATAATTTTAAATAGGGTAGTCATAGAAATTCTCATTGAGAAATTAATATTTGACTAAAGAATGAAAAATGATGAATCAAGCCAAACGATATGCGATGTAACTGAAGGAGTTAAAAAAACAAAGACATTTTTAAAAGCCAAGAATAATTAAAACCCAGCCCCTTTTATTTCATCACCATGTCAGTAACAGTGTCGTTTGGGTTCTATAAATGCATAAGGAGAATTTCACCACCCACTTTATCCCTCAGGATGTTTTTATTTACTGAGTTTTTTGAGTTGATGTGTTCACATCTTGACTGCCCTCTTTTAATTGTTATGGCATATAACTATATAGCGTTCTCTAATTTCCAAGTAAACTGATGAATTCTGGGGGAGAAGGGACTGTGGTTTGAAGGTATAATTGTTACTTTTTGCAGTAAGTTTATATTACGTATATTATTTATTTATTATAGTAAGGTCGACGTTCCATCTGAAACTTTTTATCATTTCGTAATTAGTGCTCCGCTGTGGTAAAAATTAATTTCACAGTGTACACTGCCTCTGGGCTAGGGAGTAGTACACCAGTGTGCATTATCCTGGGTACTGAAAACGACTGACCTGCGTCATTACTTTGTTCTTAGTCAATAACCATTTAAAATCTAAGGAAGCATCTTATAATTAACACTCACATTATCTGACATATTACTACCAGATTTCCTTTTCATTTGTTTATTTGGTAAACATTAGGCACCCCCAATAGAAGTGGCCCTAGAGCAAAAACAAAGAAAACAAGATATGACCTGAATAATTGTGGAGCTTCTTGTCTAGTAAAAGAGATATGTAAATAAACATTTGCATTTCTTGAGAGTTAGAGAAAGTGCCAAGTACTTTTGGAGGGGCTAAATGAAGATAATTTAGTCATATATAAATACTAATCCCAACGTGGGCTTTCATGAAAGTAACACATTGCTTTGAAAACAACCAGTGTGTTTTCAGAGATGTTATTAAGCATGGACTGAGAATAGCTTTTGTTTTCTTTGAGAAATTATGTTAGAAAGTAGGTCAGGTATCATGATGTTATTAAGGCAGGCTTTCTGGGAAGGATCAGCTGTCCTGACTGCAGCTGAGTGACAGGAGCTAAGACCACATTCATTGTCTTTCCAAAATTACCAGCAGTGGTCCCTCCTCTCTCTGTGGCAGTGTCTTAAGTGGCAAGTCTTAGGATAATATTTTCCAGATTATAAAATCAGGTCGTTGACAGAGAAGGAAAAATTATATATGAAGGACCTCTCTGAATCACTCATGAGATAATCCATATTTTCCAAATGTTTGATATATAATATGCCTTATGAATTTTCAAAAGGTTGATGCACATAGAGTTTTTCTAAATTATTTACCCTCAAAACTGCCTTTTTCTTTGTAGGAACACAAATATGCCCTTTATAGGACGGTCATTCTGTATATCACAGTGTGAAAAATTTTGTTTAATGTATTTATGATTATTACTTCACAGAATAACAAAATACACTGGAAACCACTCTATCATAAATTCCTAATGATAATCAGCAAGTGATATTAATATTTTTAGCCTTCAATTTTGAAATAATTATGAATTCATAGAAACTTCAAAGAGAGTGCAGAAAAATACTATGTACCCTTCATGCATTTTTCCCTCAGTGGTTACCTAACTATGGTCCAGTATTAAAACCCAGAAACTAATATTGTCTCAATGTTTGAAAGTCTGCAGCATTTCATTACATGCATAAATTTGTGTAAAGCATCATTGCCACAATCAAGATACTCCATCTTTACAAAGATCTTCCTTGAGCTACTTCTTTATAGTCAAACTCATTCCCATCATCCCTAACCTCAGGAAGCCACTACTTTGTTTTATATCTCTTTGCTTTATCATGTTGAGAAAGTTATATAAATGGAACTCTACAGGATGTGACCTTTGAGAATAGGTCTTAAAGATCTTCTTTCTCTCAGCATCATCCTCTTGAGATCCATCAAAATTGTTGTGTGTATAAATCACGTTTTCCTTTGTATTGCTTAGTCATGTTTCATGCTATTGAGGTAACCATACCCTGGTGCTATTTTCCAGAGCGATTGCATCGTGTCACACTACCACCAATAATGTACACAAGAACAAGTGTTTCCACGTCCTTGTGATGATTTGGTGGTGTTACTATTTTATTTTTATATTACCCTTCTTATAACTGAGGAGTAATATCTCACCATGGTCTTAATTTGCACTTTCCCAATAGCTTGTAATGTTGAATATTATTTCCTGTGCTTGTTTATAATCCATATATCCCC
The DNA here is from genome assembly GCF_000001405.40 of Homo sapiens. Taxonomy (NCBI): domain Eukaryota; kingdom Metazoa; phylum Chordata; class Mammalia; order Primates; family Hominidae; genus Homo; species Homo sapiens. Next base: position 19,343,968 of record NC_000010.11, read on the forward strand.
TTGGCTGAAATATCTCTTTTGCCCATTCTCTAATTAGACTTCTTTTTAACTGTTGAGTTTTGAGAGTTCTTTACACATTATGGGTATAAGTCTTTTAACAGATATGTGAATGGCAGATATTTTCTCCCCGGCTTTGGGTTGTCTTTTTTGTTCTTTTAACAGGATCATTTGCAGAGCAAACATATTTAATGTTGATGAAGTTCAATGTATTGATCTTTCCTCTTCCAGATCATGCTTTGATATCACATCTAAGAATACTTCACCAAGTCCTAGGTCCCTGATTTTCTCCTTTGTGTTCTTTAAAAAGTTGTATGATATTACATTTTACATTTAAGAGTATGAATCATTTAGTTAATTTTAGTCTAAAGTGTCAAATTTGGTCACAGTTTCTTTATTTTTATGTTTGCCTATAACCAACTACTCCAGCATCATTGACAAGACTGTCCTACTTTTATTTAATTGTTTTTGTACCTTTGTCAAAAATTAGTTGTACTTACATGGAGCTATTTCTGGGTTCTTTTCTGTTCTATTGATCTAGGTATCTATTCCTCCACCAGTACAAGACAGTCTGGTTAACTAAAGCTGTATCATAAATCTTGAAATCAGTTAGATTAATTCCTCCTAATTCATTCTTCTTATACAAAATTGTTTTAGTTATTCTAGTCCCTTTGACGTTCTATATATATTTTATAAAAATATATATCTACAAGTTATGGAACTTTGATAAAAATTGCATTTAATACCATGTCAATTGGGGGGGGGGAGTCATATTTTTAATATATTGAGTTTTCCAATCATGAGCATAGTAGGTTTCTCCCCATTATTTAGATCTTTGATTTCTCTCATCAGCATTTCGTGGTTTTCAGCCTACAAATTTTGTACCTGTAAGAGACATTGATCAATGGACAAATTATAGGATTTGGAAAGGTAGAAAATAGTTTGATTGATGACACAGCTTTAGACAAAGGTGATCATTGTCTTCCTGATGGCACAGGTGTCTGATATTGGCATTAATTGCACCACAAATGCCAGGAATTGGCATCAGTTCCCAAGACTATGTGCTCCTTTTATTACCTGGTGCCTATAGGAAATAATAGGATATGAAATTATAAGTTGTTCCCCCTCATCACAGTGACGTGAAATTCAAACTACTTATTTTTGCTTATTTTATTTTCCCCACTGGTATATTAGAAATAAACTTTCCAAGGAAACATAACTTCAAAACAAGGGAAAAGATCAAAAGAAAAATATGATTTACATTATAAAGATTTAGCAGTGTTTACATGAATGAAAATATCAAATCTGTTTTTCAGCAGCACACATTATTTTCTTGTACAAATGGCCTCTCTAGATGCTGCTCTATATGCTAATATATTTCTCACAGGCTGCTAAATTTTCCAGCACAAGGCAACTGAATTATTTTATTCATTTTATAGTTCTTAACTAAGACAGCGGTTCATATTCTAAACTAGATGCTGAGTTGGGGTTCATTATTATTTTCCTGACATCTACTCCCCAGTCCTTTGAAAGGATACTTAGAACTTCAGTATTCTATACTACAAGAGGTTATAAGTATTATAGTCTATTCTAGGAAAAAAAAAATTACAAAATACATTTCAAATGACATTTGAAAACTGAATTAGCAATTCGATTTTTAAAAGGCATTCTCTCCATTTGATGACATAAATTATGACAGAAAATGTATCTCTATCCTTGAAGACATTACAAATTTGTATTGGCTGTTAAACAATTTAGAAAAACAAATTATTAGTCTTGATGTTTTCTTGAAGTAATCTTTTTTTTTTTAGTTCTTTCAACAGCTAAAAATGATTATTTTAAGCCCTTTTTCTTTATTGTACAAGTTTCTTGCTCAGAGGTGTAATAAAGTTAGCTTACATTTTATGTTAGTATTTTCTTATATATCCCCAAATGACATAGAAACGATGGTAAAACTCGTATGTTTTCTTTTTTAATTTTTAAAATTTAATTTAATTATTTGTAGAGACAAAGTCTCACTTTGTTGGCCAGGATGGTCTTGAACTCCTAGCATCATGTGATCCTCCCACCTTAGCCTCCTAAAATGTTGTGATTACAGGGGTGAAGCACTCCACCCAGCCTCATATGCTTTCATATTCTCCACCTTATAAACTACAAAGAGTAATTGGTTTATTTTGCACCTTGAGATAATTTTATCTGACTTGGGATAACTATAAGAATGTATCTATACAGAAACAAACAAACAAAAACCTCACTGATTTGATGCCAAGTGCAATAGAACTTGGACATTCTTAAAGAGTCATATGTAATAAAATAGAGTACATGATTTGTCCAGGAATTACCATAGCATCTGTGGGGTTATCTGCGTTTCTTTGGCTTGTGCATTGGAGAGCAAATCCCTGAGTGTTTTGATGACAGAATCATTTTTGCCCTCATTTGCCTTAAAAATTTTGAACAATTGTGTAAATGAGGCTTATTTAAGAGAGAAACATTTATCTGAAGACATATCAACATGCTACCCTAGGTTCTTTTCAAGTATTTTTAATATTTGGACACTTATTTCACTTATGATTTTACAGACTTTTATTTCAGTTGTAATATTCAAGAAGAACTTCATAAAGAATTATTGTCGTTAAAGAATTCTAAACAGTACATTTTGTTACTTATCAAATTACTCACTCATTGGTTTTTTGTTTTTTGTTTTTGAGATGGAGTCTCGCTCTATCACCCAGGCTGGATTGCAATGGCACAGTCTCGCTCACTGCACCCTCTACCTCCTGGGTTCAAGCAATTCTTCTGCCTCAGCCTCCCAAGTAGCTGGGACCACAGATGCCTGCCACCATGCCCAGCTAATTTTGTATTTTTAGTAGAGATGGGGTTTTACCGTGTTGGCCAGGCTGGTCTTGAACTCCTGACCTTACGTGATCCACCTGCCTCAGCCTCTCAACATGCTAGGATTACAGGTGTGAGCCACCATGCCCAGCCTCCCTCATTGGTTTTATGCAGAATCATGAATATTGACTTAAAAATGAAAAGTATCAAAAGTCCTAAATATATAAATGTATAAGGTATGACACCTTCATACAACAATGCTCAGTTTTATAACATCTTCACTACCATTTTCAGCTTTATAATTTACTTGCCGCACGATAAAAAGATGCCTGTGTAATTACTACTGTCATGGAAATGGGAAAATAAAACAACTTAAGCAATGACAGTAATAAAATACTTCAAAAAGTACCTGGGAGATAGTGTGGTATTTAATGCAACTTAACCTATTTAATTTCTGCAACTTATTTCAATAAGCTCATTCAAATTATCACACCTTTTTACCTCACTTTTCTGTTTCACAATTTTCTCTAAAATAAAGAACTGTTCTAAAAAAATAACTACTATGATAAATGATAACTTTTGCTTGGGGCAGCATTACCCAACCTAAAATGTATTGCAGAATAATAAACTTAATAAATTTCTTACCAAGACCTGAGAAGCATAGATGAGAAGACAGAATAAATAAATTATATTGACCAAATAGGTATTTAGAGAAGGAAATGTGTGTAATGCTAAAACAGTTTATCAGTTTTGAAACTGGGACCAGATTTGTAGAGAAATGAACTTACAGAAGCCACGGAAATAGCTGTGTGTATCGCAAACCAAAATAGTCTCTTTATATGTTGCTATCAGGATAGCATTATGAAGGTTTCAAATATTACATGATACAGCAAGATCACTGCAGTTTTGAATTGCATGTTTTAAAGTAGGCAAATTTCCATTTTCTGTAACATATATTTGGAAATATTTTCCAGGTACCTCCAGTGGGCGCTGTGATTTCGAATTTGATCTTTGTTCCTGGAAGCAGGAGAAAGATGAGGACTTTGACTGGAACCTGAAAGCTAGCAGCATCCCTGCAGCAGGCACAGAGCCAGCAGCAGATCACACTTTGGGAAATTCATCTGGTCATTACATCTTTATAAAGAGTTTGTTTCCTCAGCAGCCCATGAGAGCTGCCAGAATTTCAAGTCCAGTTATAAGTAAGAGAAGCAAAAACTGCAAGGTATGGGGAAAATCGAACCAACCAACCAAACAAACACAGAATTATTGTGAGCAAGTTTATAAATTGACATACGGAAAACAGAGTGGCTGGGGCCAGAGAAAAGATGAGTTTGAATTTATTCAACTTTGGATATGTGAAGGGGGGAAAAAATGAAGTTCAGAATGAAGGGGAAGGATTGCTATAACTGTTGGAAGAATTTCTCCTATGGATAAATTCCATAGATACTGAAGTTTGGGAAACTGTTGGAAAATTCCATGGTTGTTATTCACAACCATGTATAATACAGAAGAAGTAAGATATCAGTTGTTTTCTCTTAAGAAGCTTAGTACTTATTAAAACTATGGAAATTTTACAAACAGAAATAGAATTAAACAACAGTCAGAATATAATTAAATATCTCCAAGAATGAATATTAGAGATAGTTAGAGCCACAAAAAAAAATTGTTGAGTAAGTCTTCATGAAAAACAAAACAAAAAGGACCCTGAACTTATTCCTAAAAGAAGTAGAATAATTTCTATAAGCAGGAAGAAAACATGACTTGGTCATTAGCCTGTGAAAAAATCATGAAAACATCTATGGAGATTTAAAAGTATAAATAAGGTTGTATGGTTCTTTGGGAAAAGCAGCAGCCTCATACGATAACTATGTATTTACAGGGTTTTCCACCTTCCTTTGTTTATTGTTTGCTTGTTTGTTTATATTCCATAAAAGACTTGAGTTAGCTAGGCTAGGAACTAAATTTACCTTTACATATAGTCCAAATTAAGTGTTCAGAGATCACAAGCACTCAGAGATCTCTTGCTTACAAGAGATGGATACAGAAATAAATACATTTACAATAAGAAATGCAGTCTGTAATTTCTGAACACATGTATTCTGACTAGAGTGTTCCCCAATGTTTGACCTCCAAAAAGCAAACAAATTACATCCAGAAACTTTCTTCCCTTCCCTTCCCCTTCCCTTCAACAGTCTCACTCTGTCGCCCAGGCTGGAGTGCAGTGGCGTGATTTCAGCTCACTGTAACATCCACCTGCCAGGTTCAAGTGGTTCTCCTGCCTCAGATGCCTAAGGAGCTGGGATTACAGGCGTGCACAACCATCCCAGCTAATTTCTGTATTTTTAGTAGCGATGAGGTTTCACTATGTTGCCCAGGCTGGTCTCGAACTCCTGACCTCAGGTGATCTGCCCACCTTGACCTCCCAAAGTGTCGGGATTACAGGCGTGAGCCCCTGCGCCCAGCCCAACTTACACTTCTCTGTGCCTGTGTCCACAACTGACAGAGCCCTAACCATGGGAGAGAAACATATCAAACAGCCTTCAACACCTTACCACTGCCATAGTATTAATACATGTTAAACTTTTACTTTGTCTTAAGAGTTTTTCTGTCTCATCATGAGTTGACTTTATAGTTTAACTCTCATAGAGCAATTTCATCTATCACATAGACAGTGAAGATTTTTCTGTAAGGAAAGTGACATGATCAGGTGAGAGTTTCAGTGACAGAACTTGGTCAGCAGTCTAGAATGAAAGTAAATCATACAAATCTATTTTGGCAAAAATTGAGTTTTTATCAAGTATAGTTTTTATCTGTTTTTGCTGTCTTCCAGATAACTTAGTACTTTCTCAGGAATAAAACCCAAGCACACCAGATTTTCTCTATGTTGGGTATATATCTATAAATTTAGCTTTATACATCTATAGATATTCTGAAAATCACAAATTCATTTTAGTCTTATAAACCTAATTAAATATTAAATACAAAATACGAAAATTCCAGGTTGACCTCTCAGCTTTTCTATTTAAACACTTCTAAAAATGTCCAGTGGATTATTTTTTCATACTGTAGTAACTAAGATTTCATCCATTGCTATATTCCCCTGGTCCCAGAACTAGAGTCCCCAATGTTTTAAACATCTGTGTGAGAATAATGAAGTATGCCTAGAAGAAATGTCAAAAAATTAATGATGAATGGTTCATTTTATGAATATTTATGATACAGATTGAATAAAAGCAAGTAAGGAAAGATTGTGCTAGGAAATATTGGGTCTTCTATATTAAAAATATATTCATCGGGTAAGCAGATTGACCTCCCAGATTTTTATGAGAATCACCTCTGCCCCTTCATCTTGTGGAATACCTTTCAAGCAGAGATAATCAATTTTTTTTTCTTTGTAGGGGTTGGTATATAGGAAGGATCCATGTAGAGGGTGATGAGAGAAGAGATGAGACCTTAATGATTTTTTCTTTTTTTCTTTTTTTTTTTTTTTTTGAGATGGAGTCTCACTTTGTTGCCCGGGCTGGAGTGCAGTAGTGTGATCTCTGCTCACTGCAACCTCTGCCTCCCAGGTTCAAGCAATTCTCCTGCCTCAGCCTCCTGAGTAGCTGGGACTGCAGTCGCACACCACCACTCCTAGCTGTTTTTTGTTGTTGTATTTTTAGTAAAGACAGGGTTTCACCAAGTTGGCAAGGCTGGTCTCGAACTCCTGACCTCAGGTGATCCACCTACCTTGGCCTCCCAAAGTGAGGGGATTACAGGTGTGAGCCACCGTGCCTGCCAATGCTTAGAAGATTTTTATTCACTCTCACTACCCTGTGTTAGGCTTTGTCGTCACCAGATGTTCCCCTTGGAAATAGGGGTGTTGGTGCATCTGTTTGCATGTTAACCTGATGGCATCATTCAGCAAATGACCTGAAGAAGATATAAACGTATTTACTGAGACATAAAACATATGCCTCATATTTGTTGCACAAATAAGACAAACAAAAGGAGAAGTCCCTGTTTGTAGCTGCAAGGGGTCCTTGCAGAAGTGTGCCACAGAGGTGGTCCTGGGATGCTGTCTGAGAGGTTGGCCCCTGGCCACTTTGTTTCTCACTCAAATGAGTCATGGTACCCAAGTTTCACCGGTACCAGGACAATCCATAATGATCACAGAGCTCATGTTGGGAAAGTTAGTCCATAGAACAAGTATTTTGGGGTCATAGAATAATAATTAAAGATTTCATCAGTTGGGAGATGGGTAGAGTCACTGCATGGCTCACCCATTCTTGGTTGATCCTTTTTGAATTAATGCACTGCATATATGATTTAACGGTGTTCATTTTTCTTCTTGTAGAGTATGATATATGTGACTGCTAGTGTTTCAAACATGTTTTTTTCCTATGTGCAGAACAATTTCATCACTGTTTTCCCTCATTCACACAAATGACAAGACAAAAGCTTTAAAGGCTTTGAATTCCTACTGCTCCTAACCTGTCCTGTTCTTTTCCCAGAATTTTTCCAGACTTTTTTCACTGTGTGACAATCACTCAAAATCTAGTAAATTTCATCTATGCAACATTGAAATATTAATCCCTGAAAATACTTTTTATTAATTTTTACTCAAAGAAAAGCTCCGTGGGTTGCTCTGTGAAGGCCCATTTGTAGCATTTCAAGTAAAATTTGGATAATTACTGTTCTGGGGTTTTGTTGTATTTAAATGGAGCCCAGAGAATCTTACAGAACTGAAAAAGTGTTTCAAGTACAAGAATGGCAGTGGAATAAGCAAAAGAAGAAAATAAAATAATTTAAGTTTCATGAGATTAAAAATAATCTTCTTTTGTTCCTGTTATTTCTTAATCATGAAAAGTCTTTTTGTATAATGCATAGCAATTTAATGATCTTGTATTCCTTTGACAATGGGCTCTAAGAGTTTATGAAGGAATCTTGCTTTCAGAAGTCACAGAAAGAAAGTAAACTCAGCCCTTTAATTCCTACTAAATTTCTATTTGATTCTTCCTCTGCTGTCTCCCATACATTGCAACATATGACTCAAGGCTGGTCTAACTTCACTCAGTGTTAAAGTGCAGACAGAGCAAGAGAATAAACAGGTGTAATTTTCCTCCAGAAATCTGTTAATAAAGAAGAGGGCAATGTGATAGAATTGAAAATAATATCATATTAATTATACTAATCATATCGTATGTAATATTCCTATTCTTGATTACAGATTATTTTTCATTATCACATGTATGGAAATGGCATTGGGGCACTCACCTTAATGCAGGTGTCAGTCACAAACCAAACGAAGGTTCTACTTAACCTCACTGTAGAACAAGGCAATTTCTGGCGGAGAGAAGAACTGTCACTGTTTGGTGATGAAGACTTCCAACTCAAATTTGAAGGTAGAGTTGGGAAAGGTCAGCGTGGAGACATTGCACTTGATGACATTGTGCTTACAGAAAATTGTCTATCACTCCATGATTCCGTGCAAGAAGAACTGGCAGTGCCTCTTCCAACAGGTACATTCTAATCTGTGTGTGTGTGTGGTATTTTTGCATGGTGAAAGGTGAAAAGGAAGAAAGAAAATGCAAAAGAAATAGCATAAACACCTAGTAATTTATCACTTTCATAAAGAAAATATAAGATCTTTTTAAACTCAAAAAAATATTTCTCAAGCCTTTATTCATAAAAATGTCTTCCACATTTTCTCCAAGTGTTTTGGTCTGTTTATCAGTTCCTGGCTTCTCTGTTTAGTCACCTTCCTCTTAGATCAATAAAATAAGAGAAGACTCCTTTGTTTGCAGTCTGCTTCAGAATTTAATCCTAAGCAAACATCTATTCACTTCCAATAAAACATAGGTAAATTGAGGACAGAGTTATTCAATTTTAATTAGACATTTTTGTGGTTATGATATTTGCCACCTTCTTCATGGACCATGAGCATGCCAATTTGATATTGAAACAAAGCAGATGATTAAATGTGTCCATATGTCCTTTTAACCTAAAATAACTTTTGATAATTTGTTGAAAGAATTTTACTCAAATGTTGAGTTGGCAGATGTTCAGTATAATTCCTACAGATACAATGTTGTAAGTAGTAGAATTAGCAAGCACCATTAACCCATATAATATTAAAGGTCTGAGATGAAAATAAATGCAATAAATATTATTAACGAGACAAAGGAGTAAATTTTCTTAGCCAGTGATATGATAGATACTACTTTTTTTTTCTTTTTTTCTTTTTTTGAGACAGGATGTAGCTCAGTCACCCACACTGGAGTGCAGTGGTACAATCTAAGTTCACTGCAACCTCTTCCTCCTGGGCTCAATTGATCCTCCCGCCTCAGCCTCCTGAATAGCTGGGTTTACAGGCATGCTCCACCACACCTGGCAAGTTTTTGTGTTTTTTGCAGAGATGGGGTCTCACTGTATTGCCTAGGTTGGTCTCAGACTCTGGGGCTCAAGAGATCCACCTGCCTTGGCCTCCCGAAGTACTGGGATTATAGGCATGAACCACCATGCCCAGCAGATATTAATTTTTTAAACCATGAGTTTAGTGTAGAAAACAGAAGTGCAGTTTCATTGATATTTAAATTATATTTATTATAATTGATGAATATAAAAATGGTTTATTAAGAGCAAACTAATTTGTTTGCTCTGGCTTATAACATAGTAGGTGGAATGGGCAGTGTTGCCACTTCTGCCTTCCCCGTTTATTTCAAAGCAAGTATTTTCATTTGGTTACAAAGAAGTTTCTAGATAAATGTTTCCCAGTTGACAATTAGTTAAACAGGCTCTTTGCCTGACAGGCTTCTAACACTATATGGAATAGTATAGAGGAAAGCAAATAAACATTTTAAGACTGTAATGAAAGGGAAATATACATAGGTGGATTTAATGCAAAGGTAATTGACCTGCCCAAGATACTCTACTTCTCCAAGAAAAGCTTTGCCTTTCATTCTGTGTGGGATGTTTGATGGCAGATATAGGTCTTATATAAGTCTGGTCCTTTGAAGAGTAATTATTTGATCGTAATAAAAAATAATCTTGTAGCATCCAGTTGGTGGGGGAGCAAGAGTTTTCTGGTGGTTTTGTTTGTTTGTTTGTTTGTTTGTTTTTTGTTTTTTGGTAGAGATGAGTTTTCGTTATGTTGGCCAGGCTGGTCTGAAACTCTTGAGCTCAAAGCAATCCACCTGCCTCAGCCTCCCAAAGTCCTAGGATTTCAGGCATGAGCCACATGCCCGACTCAAGGAAGCAACATTAAAAAAAAAAGTTAAACCACTTTAAAATTTAATAAACAACTATTGAGTGGGATACTAAAGGAACAAACCAATCTTGTTGGGGATTTTAAGACTTTAAACTTGTAAAATCTTGAATGAGGTCATATTTTAGGAAATCTGCAACAGGAAAGTTTTAAAGTATGTACAAAATAGTATTGATTATACACTAAATACAAATTAAGGGCACAGATGAATCATACCAGAGCTCTTTGAATATGATAATATTTGAGGGTGTGTATTAAAATTTTTAATGAATATAATTTGTTTTAAAAAATTGCTCTTAAAAATAATACAAGATGGCAAGTGGGTAGGAAAAAAATGCCTTGAATAACTTTAATATTGAGTAGGATGTAACTAAATACCAGGAGAAATATTTAAACATTATGCAGTGCTGAACACTAGATTGTATTCCTTCAATCTAACTGTATTTTTGTACCCATTAACCAACCTCTCTTTATCTCCCCATCCCCACTACCCTTTCCAGCCTCTGGTAACTACCATTCTACTCTCTACCTTTGTGGGATCATTTTTTTTTGTTCTCGCATGTGAGTGAGAACACGTGATATTTGTCTCTCTGCCTGGCTTATTTCACTTAACATAATATCCTCCAGTTCCATCCATGTTGCAAATAGGATGAATGTAATTAACAATAATTTACTGTGTATTTCCAAATAACTAGAGGAATGAATTTGGAATGTTCCCAACATTTAAAAAAATGATAAATGTTTGAGGTGATGGTTATCCCAATTACCCTGATTTGATCATTACACATCACATGCTTGTATCAAAATATTACATGCCCCCTATAAGTATGTACAGCTATTGTGTATCCATAAATATTAAAAATAAAAAAGAAATTTGGAGAAAAGTAAGCAGAAAAACGTTTATGAGGTTGTAGTGAAAAATAAAACATTCAGCTGAGGATATCTAATTTGAAATGTATTTATAGGATGCTCAAGAATTTGGAACCACACTTAGAGCTCATAGGAGGGAAAGATCCCTTCAGTTTGTAGGGCAGGGGCAGTGGAATTTGAGCCCTGGAGGACCAGATAAAGGATATGGTTGTGAGAGTGCTGTAGGCAGGCTGAATGGCATAAGAAAGAACAGGGATGGTTCATGCACACTGCAAGGTGGGCTGTGGGTGATGATTTGGCTGAGGTGGGCACCTTATGTAGCTATCTGAGATATTACAAAGGAAATAGAGCCAAATTGTGGACCACCTTGAGTATCAGTTTAATTTTTTCTCAAAATGAACCTACATTGAAAAGATATTAAATGGTCTTAGAAAGCAAAGAATAAACAAGAATTTAATATAAGAATATGAAAAGTTAATATAAAAGGTTAATTATATTAAACATTAATATAATTTATTACATTAAAATAAAAAAGAGTATTCATTCATATAAAGTATGATAACTTGTGGGAATGTCTGCAGTAGAAAGACTCCAAGAAAAACAACTGAATGCCTTTATTTCTCTGATTTAGGAGCATTCTGAAAATTGAGACGAGATACTGCAATATTTGTATAGCTATCTCAGCTGTAACTCTTACATTCAAGCAGATAACAAATAAAAATGCATGTGGAGTTCACTTTCCTATAAGCTACTTGATGTACCTTTAATTGTGCCTTCAGAAACTAAAAGTATATACTCATTTCTTGGTAAAAGTGATATGCTAAACTTGGTTTAGAGACTCAAGCTGCGAAATGATTCTGAAACACCTTAACTTCACTGTGAGTTTAGAAGACTCTGCAGGAGTCTGATATTTTTAGGGAAGAACATATATTATATATATATATATTATATATGATATATATTAGCTAAGCATATATATATGTTGAATATATATATATGCTGAGGTTATATATCATATATAATATATATATGCTAGGGTTAGGGTTGGAATGCAGACAATATAAGTCACTCTAAATATTTTAAGCAGAGTGTAATTCGGTGGAGACAATTTTATATGTGTAAATTGTTGAATTGGTTGGATGAATGAGCTCTAATGAGGTCTTCTAGAAATGGCTCCCAGAATTGGCTCTCCGTAAGACCAACTACCACTACAGTAGTTACAGGACATCTTTCTTGGTGAGATATATTTATGTCTATATGTATATCTATATCATTTGTATATATATGAAGTTACAGAACATCTTTCTTGGAGAGGTATATCTATATGTAAATCTGTAACTATATCTAACATCTGTCTGTATCTATATGGAAGGGAGGATAAAGCCAGAAGTGGGAATAGTGGTATCTTGAACAAATGAAAAGCCAGCATGTTTCTTTTGATGTTTATGGAAGTTGGTGCAAGCGAGTTAAGGAATACCATGAATTTCCAATAGAGTCACAATGTGTAAGCCACATATTTACTTTTACATTTTCTAATAGTCACATTTTTAAAAACGAAATTAATTTTAATAATATATTTTAATTCGATCTACCCAAATTTTAGCAGCTTAACACAAAATCAGTATAAAGTATTAATGAGATATTTTGCATTCTTGTTTACATACTAAGTTTTTAAATCCAGTGTGTATTGTATACTCACAGCACATCTCAATTTGAATTAGTCACATTTCAATTACCCAGTAGGTACTCATGGCTATTGGTTACCCCAGTGGACAGCAAAGGAGATAAAATCAGCACTCTAGGGCACTTTTGGGCCTGTCTCTGACAAAAGAGCTCCATTAGTTGATGTGATATTTGTAAATTTCCAATAATTTCAGCTATTTTCCTATTTAATAGAAGTATAAAAATGTACCTTGCCAGGCACGGTGGCTCACACCTGTAATCCCAGCACTTTGGGAGCCTGAGGTGGGCAGATCATCTGAGGTCAGGAGTTCAAGACCAGCCTGACCAACATGGCAAAACCCCATCTCTACTAAAAATACAAAAATTAGCCAGGCATGGTGGTGGGTGCCTGTAATTCCAGCTACCTGGGAGGCTGAGGCAGGGAGAATTGCTTGAACCTGGGAGGCGGAGGTTGCAGTGAGCTGAGATCTTGCCACTGCACTCCAGCCTGGGCGACAGAGTGAGACTCTGTCTGAAAAAAAAAAATAAAAAACAAAACAAAAAATGCACCTCAAGGTCAAATGTGAAAGCACAGGCACCATGTTCTAGTGGATTAGATATTAATATCAGACTCTCCTCTTATTAGCTATTTTTACCCAATGTATCTGAAACACAGTTTCCTCTTCTATAAAGCAGAGATAATTTCCACATGTTTCTTAGGTTCTAAGATTCTTAAGAATTAAAAGAGGTAACTGCCCATGTAATTTACTTAATGTCTGGCATATGGTAGGAATTTTTCAAAAAAAAAAGTCTCATTTTACATTATCCTGTATTTTTTATATCTCTACCTGTATTCTTTAGGTGGTGTAAACATTTGACAGTAAACCTTGTTTATTTGCATTTTATTAAGCACGTTTCTTTTATTTGCTTTGGCAAAATTATATTTCTTGCACATATCACAAGCATATCCTTATTTTATATTACTTTATAACTATAAAATCTTATTATTTATTGAAAACATCTCTTATTTTTGATGTCTCATGAGTAGTGTATGTGTGTGTATCTTTAGAATGTTTAATGATTCTTAATTTCTCATTACTGCAAAAACACTTAACTTGGAATTTGCACAATGTAAACTGGGATAAATGGCATTATGTTCTAGCAACAGTAACAACATCCATTAAACTTTTGGAAATGACTCTAGTTCACACAGACTTTTCATCTGTATTCATGTGTGTAGGCTAACAATTCCATCAAGGATAGCTTAAAATAGAAAAGACAAGAGGGGAAAAATGTATATATTTAGGAAGATGCAATTGAGCAGAATCTGGAATCAGTAATTCTGATTAATCAAAATAGACCCAGGGCTTTATTAGCAAAAGTAATATTAAATTATTATTAAGTCCCTAGGAGTCACATTTAAGAGCTTATCTGGATGGCAATTTTGTTAATTGCTAAATGATGAAGGATAAAAATAATTGTTTTATGAATTTTAATAAGAAAAAGACAACCAACTTTCCTCTTCTAAATGTCCATATGCAAATTCAATCACGGTCATATTCTCTACTTATTGACATATATTTAATAAAACCTATATATATGCAATCAGGGCAGGAGTCAAGTGTGTGTGTGTGTGTGTGTGTGTGTGTGTGTGTGTATGAGTTTAATCACCACAGCTACTTCCAAACAGGAGTTATTCAATACATCTGTTTTGGGATATAACATGGAAATCAGTTTCTTTAAAAAACGTATGTAAAACAATGAGGACTGAATAGCTCATCTTTCAGGTCACTCATTTCTCTGCAATATTTAGCAGTGCTTTAAAACTAGTGCCTAGTGATGAGAATGCTGGTGTAGCAACTCAGTCAGAGTCCTGAAATAGGAATATCTGACTGGTTGTGTGTGGCTAAATAATTTCGTGAAACCTACATATGCTGTTTAGTGCAAAGTACGTGTTACATGCTGAGATTTAAAGACATAAACTTGGATCTTGACACTGCTTACTAACTGTGTGATGTCAGCTAATCTACTTCAACCTCTCTAATTCCTATCTTTACGTTCTGTACCATGGGGACTGTCGGAATCTACTTCTGAGCGATTTGAAAAATAAATCAGATAGTAACATATAGCACTTTTGGAACAATGTATGGAATACAGTCGGTGTTGTGTGTTACTTTTTTTGCCTCTCTTTATTCCTGCTAAGGAGACTATGAAATTAAACTGTACACATGGTGACATTTCTTAAAAGGATATTTTATACTTGCTGTTCTTTCTTCCTCATGTTCTATTCACTGCTGAAAGCAAGGGTTCAGTTCTCCTTTGCCTTCACTTTCTCTTCAGAAAAAAAAATTGCTTTCAAAAAGTCTCTAAAATTTCTAATTGCTAAATGTGGTGGTTTAACTGATTATACATAATAAGAAATGGAGAAGAAAGAACAGTCACAATAAAGATCCAGAGATAGAAGTGACATGACGGCTACTGATGGACAAAGGGGACAAAGAAGAAATTATAGTTTTGAACGTAGAAAACCTTACAAAACAGAACTGAGATTCAGAGAAGTTGATGAGTTGGCTGGATATGATGTGTGTGAGGGAGAGAAAAGTTCATTTTTAAAAATATTGGCATATTCCACCGAATATTTTCCAAATTAATGTTTTCCCAATAAAACACTTCTTGGTTTTTAATATCCAAATTTCACAGAATGCCTCTTTTTGCTTTTGGTTTTTGACTAATATCTGTATTGGAAATACATATTGACATCACCCCAAACACACTAGACTACTGTTCATACAGTATGTTGTGCAAGAAAAATCACAAGTTCCATTCCAAATACAAGTTCCATTCCAAACTGGTAGACAAAGACGTTTTGAAGATTTTGTGGAGTAGCAAGGGAGGCTGTTCATCATGGGTGTTGCTGGAACTGGGAGAAACAGCACAGCATTAGATGCACTGTGGGCCAATACTCCACTGCGCACTTCTTCCAAATAAATTTCACTATTGTCTTTCCTGTGTAGTCATGTTTTTGTCTAACTTGAGCTATAAATGGCCCTAGAAGTTGAGAAAGTGTTGGAGAAAATTGTGGAGAGGAAAGCAAAGCAAGTGAAAAAAAAAGACATCACGAGGTAGGAGAACATAAAAAGAATACAGGATTTTGACCCAGGAGAGCTGGCTTTGATGAAGTAGATGAAAAAAAAAATAATTAAAGAACTCTTGGAAAATGTAACTGAGGGATTCACTACCAAGTTTATTTATATAAACATGTAATGTTAGTCTAAAGAAGACAGCAGTGAAGACCCAACAAACCAGCTCATCACACGGATAGACATCACTGGTTTCAAAGAATTTATGGCCCTTGCAAATGCCATGATAAACATTACACCTTTATTAGTTTCACTGGATTTCATCTGCATTTTAAGAACTTAGAATGATGGTAGATATGGAATACCTTATAATTATCCCCATTTACATAATGGGAAATTTAAAAAGAGAAAAATTAAAATAATTATTATAATTATAATGGGAAATTGCCTCTAGGATCTAGCATTTCATTTATATAAGCAGGACATCTGACTTTCAGGAATACATTACTAAAAGTATATGAGTAGGGGGTATACTTTGTTTAAATTCTCCATGGGGCATGATGGTGTATATATTCAGTCAGCACTTGGACTTGTGAAACTTCATATCTCTGAATGGCCAGGGATGAACTGGGCCTTTTAATGTCTGAAAGCTCTGTTTATTTTCTGCTACCTAGGTCTATTTAAAAATACTTATCTTCTGTTCGTGGATCTAATGATAAGTAGCCTAAATAGCTCCACAGCCTCTCTCTCCTTTAAATATAAGATATTTTCCTGGAAACCTGCTTTTTTGTATATTTGTCCTAAGGACTAAAATTTCTTCATTATGGCAGCTAGATTGTCTACCCATCCCTGCTCACTCTCATTCCCAAATTCCTCTATTGCTGGTGATAACTATATTTTACCTATCCTCTTTCTTCCAATTTCAGATGTTATAGTACAGAAATTGTATACAATTCTGTATGGCCTGCATAGAAAACACTCCTGGAAATACTAGCTAATATTTTTAATATACTTAAATTGCTTTTGAATATAACAACACATAGTAAACAGCCTTATAAATATTGACACAGCAGCTTCTCCCACATTATTTACCCAGTGCATCAATTTAAAAATGCATGACATCATTATGTATGAAAATTATAGAATGATTTAGTAGAAAATAGTAATAATGTTAAGTTGCATATTATTGTACTGCAATATTTGTTCATAGTAGCATAGTGTTATTTTAAAATCTCTGGTTAAGGTAACCAGTGAAGTTTTTTTTTTGAAATTCATTCTTTCATATAGCTTTACTATGGTCTCATTATTACACGAATTAACTACATAAAAGTAAGCACCATTGCCTAAACAAGTTGTCATTGTTTTATCAAATCACCCAAGACTGGAGGTGTGGTAGTCTGCTATTTGCTCCTCAACAGCCATTCTCTTCTGTTTCTTGTAGTAATAAAACTCCCAATACTTATATAGATACATAGCCAAACAGAGTAACGACTCTATTTCCCAGTCTCTGTTATCACCAGTGTGGAACATGTGAATATATTTTGCCAATGGAATGTGAACATATACTATACACAATCTGTAGTTTGTGCAATTAAACAGAAGAGGCATTCCCTCCATTTCCCTTCTCTCCTTCCCACTGGCCAGCATGTGAATGTGAGGGCAGGAGCTCAAGCTTTGATCTCAGTTCATGAGTTTGAAGAATTGCCTCTTCAGCAAAGAACATGGTAGAAGGGGTCTGGTTCCCATCCCCCAGACACTAAAGAGCTGCCATATCAGCCTACGATTTCTTAGCTCATATTGTTCTGTGAAAAAGAGAATAATCTCTCACCTTTTCACTGCTATCTTGTGGTTTGGCATAGCAGCTAAGCCTACATCTTAATAAAGGAACTTACTATTTTTCATTATTATGTGCTACGTAACTAGGATATTTAACTGAATGTTGGCTTATCCCTAGTTAAACTCAGAAGATCTCTAATTTCCCAGAAGTCATCAAGAAAGATGTTCTGTGACTTCTGTATTGGTAGTCGGTTTCATGGAGAGCCAATTCTGGGAGCCATTTCTGGAAGACCTCAATAGAGCTCACTCCTCTAACCATTTCAACATTTTATCTATGTAAAATTCTCTCCATAAAATTACATTCTGCTTAAAATATTTATGGTGATTTAGATCATCTGCATTTAAACCCTGACTAACCCCAGTATTTCTTATCAAAAGTTCGGTTTTATTGTTTGAATCACTTGTGGTTGTATAAATTTTCTAGATGTGACATTCTGATTCTAAAGATTCAAATTTTTTTCCCAAGAAAGTGCCCCAAATTTTACTTATAGGACCCTTCCAGGCTTGGTTTTAATCTTTATTCTAATTCTGCAATCTGATGAGTCAAATCCTGTGTCTGATTTTTGCCTGCGTCAGCTTTGTGCCTACAAGCAAGAAGAAATTCTTTTAGGGCTATCATAGCAATACTCTGAATTTCTGACCAGCCCGTGAGTCAAGAATTTAAGAGCCAATTATTTCTTTTTATAAACTCTCTGGTTATCAACTTCAGTGTATCCAATTTACTCCTATAATACTTGAATTTCTTATACCGCTCACTCTGCTATGGAAACCACCATTTGGTATTCTAATACTTTGCCTTTAATGGATACTTCTTTCCTGGTAACTGTAGATAATATTGAAAGTATTATTTTGTGCCATGTATTACTAGTAATGTTCCTCTAATGGTAACATACCCTCACTCCCTCCAAATCTAATCAGGTCATGTAAACAATACAGATAAGCAAAGACAAAAAGTAATTTCATGGGAGGTTATTTGAGCAGACTTGAAGGAGATATGGAAATTAGCTAAGCAGACATCAGAGAAGAGAGAATCCCACACATAGGAAGCATCCCAGGTGATGGTACCAAGACAGGGCATGCCTGACAAAGAAGAGGCCAATGTAGCTGAGAAACTAAAGCTGGAAGAAGGTAGTGGGATAGGAGGTCAGAGAGGAGATGGGGAGGCAGGTTTTGTAGGTTACTACAAGGGCTTTGGTTTTAATTTTGAGCAAAATGGATAAAACCCTGCAAGTGATGGGATCTGACTTATATTTAGAAAGAATCTTTTTGGCTGTAATGTAGAGAGATTTCAGAATAACCAGGTAAGAGCAGCAGGACTACTTAGGAGGACGTTGAAGTTATGCAAGCAAGAAATGATAATACCATAGACTAGTATGGTGGCAAAGAAGATAGCAAGAGGTGGTTAAGTGAAAGACTAGATGTGAGGTGAGAGGTAAAAAGAGGAATTAAGAGAGATTTTTGATTTGAGGCCCTTGAAGGATGAATTTGCCATCAGAGGAAGTGAGGGAGACTGTGGGAGGAGCAGATTTCATGGGGGAGAGTTCAGGCATTCAATTTGGACATGCTCAGTTTAAATGTCCATCGTCTAGGCACGTACAGATGTCAACTCAGCATTTGAATACAAATCTAAGCTTTGAGGGAGGCCTGAGAGGCAGACATTAATCTAGGAGTTGTCAGAATTAAAGTCATATGCATATAAAATCATCAAAGAATGAATAGACATTTATTCCTTGAAGAATGAATAATAAAGGATAAGAGAAGATCCAGAGAAAAATAAAGAACCAGGAACTAAGCCCTGGGACATTCAACATTATGAGGTCAAGAGATAAAGAAAAGGTAACAAAGAAAACAGACATAGAGAGACCAGAGTGAAAGGAAGACGATCAGGTGAACAGTGTTCTGGAAGCCAAAAGAAAATGAGTATTACCCAGGAGTGACTACGTCAGATGTTGCTGCTGGGTTAAACAAAATGAGGTCTGAAACTGGCCATTGTATTTAGCAATGTGCAAGGCAGTGGTGAATTTTATGAGAGCAATTTTGCACTGTGTGTGTCTTCCTCCTCAACCTTGAAATCCCTTGTCTAATGACAAAACTTGTAGTGAAATGAGACTATAAGAAATGGCCCAAATTCTTAGAGAATGCCAGAGTTGACCAGGAGATTGAGAGAAGGCAATAAATAAGAAGCAACTGGAAGTTTCATAAGTGGGAGACATGGGTCTTAAAGGATGAATGAGTCTTGATGAGACTAGGAGTTACAGAAGGAGGGTTAGTCCTGTGAGAAGAGCCAGAATATAGTACCCTGGCTTCCAAAGAATCATCAATAATTTCTTTAAAAATTCTAACTCCCAAGACATCCCACTTCCAGTGTCCCATAAGTCAGTATTTCTGTGGTTGAGGACTGATCATCAGGTGATTCTAATATGCAACCAGGGTGGAAAATATTGCATTGCATTGCAGTAAAAAAGAGACAGAGTAGTGTTTTGTGAAGGCCCTGAGAATATGAAGGAGTTTGTTTACAAACACAGAATCCTAGGGCATGATGGAAAGGATTGTGAAGGGGCCAAAAAAGTTAAAAAATATCAGCATGGGAGGAGGAAGGGAAAACCAGTTTTTACATTAGAGGACAAGAAATAACTGGAAGTCACTTTTCTAGAATAAAAATATAAGGATCATAATGATCAGTGTCAAGGATGAAATTAACTGAGGGTGATGCTCTGTGGATCTTGCAAAGGTAGCACCTAGCAATATAATTGTTTAATAACAACTGACATGATTTAAATTTATTACTTGATATGCTAACTTAAAATGAATACCTCATTTCCTATAAGTGATTGGTAGGAATGAAATCATTGCATAATTCCCAAAAATATGCTCCTGTATCACAAATATGTTCCTTAGCACTCACAATTTGGTTGTTTCTTAGGAGCTCTAAAAACCAAAAGACTACATTTTTAATGTCCTAAGTAATATATGTGTTTGTGTTTCTGATAAACTTAATCTTTACTGAAATATAAGGCAAGTTTGAAATTACAGAATTATTGGCATTATCTTGGTTATCAAGCTAAAACTAAACTATTTTTTACCGTGTGAGCTCCTAAAATATGTTCTAGTTAAATGAAAACCAAAAATGGTCATATGATAATCTATTTTGAATAGTTGAGTGTAAGTGAAACAACACATTACATTTCTCTTGGAAGAAAAATATTATTGTGTGAAACTGAATATATTACATATCCCAATGAACTGAATTTGTTAGAAAACTTCAGCTTCACTTGAAATGCCAATTGGCTGTACTCTACTTATGTAATAGGGGTGAGATGTGCAGTTTAAAATAATTTAATTTTTAACTCTATCATTGTTCCAAGAAAATGTCCTTAATTCAATTGAGGATTCTTTCCACATAAGCCATTTCTTTGATTTCTTTGGAAAGAATATTGGGGATTAGCATATTATCTGAGTGCTATTATTTCAACTGATATTTGGTCTTCCCAACCTGCCACCACATCATCTGCTTTCACAGATACATGAATAGATTACAAAAATAACATTTCTAAAAAGAATGTCATTTAAAATTTTAAAATTGTTTATATAAAATTTTGTGTCAAACCATAAAAATGAAAACACATACATGTTTTCTCTATGAAATATATTTAATTTAAAATGAAATAAAATGAAAAGGAAAATGCTTAAAATTTTTAGATCTAGTTTTCCTACTCATTTGTCTCTATTTACATCTCTGTTCTGCCTTCTCAGATTATTTTCTTCATTCCTTAAATATGCTAACTCTAAGAAATGCTTTTAGTGATGATTTTTTTTGTGGTTACCTGTAATTAACTTAAATGCTTTTACTTCAGCAGAGTGTTTGAAAATAGTTGAACTGGACATACTGCAGGTTTAGGTTGGAAGTTATTTTCTATTAGATATTTTCGACAGACATTTTATCACTGTCTCTTGGTTTCTAATTTTGTGATCAAGAAATCAGCTCTGAATCTAATTGTCACACCTTTTAAGCAAAGTCTTTTTTTTTCCTTTTAAGCTTTTGTGATTTTCTCTTTGTCTCTGGTATTCCACTCAATACTATGATGTGTATTAGAATGGGTTTCTTATTCGTCCTGTTTGAGATTCATTAAGATTTCTCAGTCTGATAATTGACATGTTTTATAAATTCTAAAAAAAAAAAAAAAAAAAAAAAAAAAAACAAGCTACTATGTTTTTTGAATATTGCTTTCTCTCATTCGAATCTCTGTTGAGACTTACTTGGATCTTCTCACCTTATCCTTTCATTCTGGTATACAATACGATGAATTCTGACAAATACAGACCAGTATAAATTCAACTCCACCAAAATAGAGAACATCTACATCAACCCAGAAACTTTCCTGTTCTCCTTCCCGGTAATACTGCCCTCCACCCCAGCACTCAGAGGCAACCAGTATTTTGATGTCTATTACCATACATTAGATTTGTTTGTCATGAGCTTCCTATCAATTGTGTGAATTTTAGAGTAGCGATCCACAACCTTTTTGGCACCAGGGACCGGTTTCATGGAAGACAATTTTTCCACATACTGGGGAGTAGGGGGAAGGGGTGGTTTAGGGATGATTCAAGTATATTACATTTATTGTATACTTTATTTCTATTATTATTACTACACTGTAATATGTAATGAAATAAACATGCAACTTACCATAATGTAGAATCAATGGGAGCCCTGAGTTTATTTTCCTGCAACTAGATGGTCCCATCCGGGGGTGATGGGAGGCAGTGACAGATCATCAGGCATTAGGTTCTCATAAGGAGCACACAACCTAGATCCCTTGCATGCACAGCAAATAATAGGGTTTGCGCTCCTATGAGAAGCTAGCGCTGCTGATGATCTGACAGGAGGCGGAGCTCAGGTGGTAATGTGAGTGGTGGGGAGCAGCTGTAAATACAGATGAAGCTTAGCTCACTTGCCCGCTGCTCACCTCCTGCTATTTGGCCAGTTCCTAACAGGCTATGGACTGGTACCAGTCTGTGGCCCAGGGTTTGGAGACCCCTTTTCTAGCATGTCTGACTCCTTTATCTCAACATAATATTTTTGTAACATATCCATATTGTTCTATTGTTTACTTGTTTATTTTAAATTAATGAATAGCATTTTATTGTATGACTATTTCATAATGTGCTTATGCATTCTGGTGATGAACATATGGGTTGGTTCAAACCATTAGACCTTGTGCATTAGGCTGCTGTGAAAATGTATATACACATCTCCTTGTAAGTACCTGGAACTTTGGTTGCTGGGTCCAGAAGCATGTCTTACTTTATAAGAAATAACTAAACAATTTTAAAATATGTATATCACTTTATAATCTCACTGGCAAATTTCAGTGTATGAAATTTGTAGTTGCCCCACATCTTCACCAGTATTTGGTTTGTCAGTGTCTTTAAGTTTAGCAATTCTAGTGGGCATGAAGTCTTGCATTGTGCTTCCAATTTGCATTTAAAATTTTTTTAAATTGCCACATCATAATTGTACTTATTTATGGGGTACATAGTGATACTGTAATACATGCAATGTATAGTGATCAGATCAGGGTAATTTGCATATCCATTTCAAATGTGTATTATTTATTTGTATTGGAAACATTCAGTATCCTCCTTCTAGCTATTTGAAACTGTAATATATTATTGTTAGCTATAGTCATCCTAGTGTGCTGTAATACACTAGATCTTACTCCTTCTCTCTAGCTGTAATTTTATACCTTTAGCAAACTCTCCCTATCCTCCTCTTCCTTCTACCCTTCCAAGCCTCTAGTATCCTCTGTTCTACTGTTTACTTCTAGGCGATCAACTTTATTTTAGCTTCTACATATGAGTGAGAACATGTGTTGTTTAACTTTCTATTCCTGGCTTATTTCACTTAACATAATGTCTTCAGTTCCATCCATGTTGCTGCTCACGATGGGATTTCTTGCCTTTTTATGGCTGAATAAGATTGCATTGCATATTTTTACCACATTTTCTTTATCCATTCACTTGTTATTGGACACCTAGGCTGATTTCTTATCTTGGCTATTGTGAATAGTGCTGCAGTAGACATAAGAGTGCATATATCTCTTTGATGTACTAACTATTTTTCCTCCTTCGGATAAATGCCCATGGGGGAATTGTATGGCAGTTCTATTTGAAGTTTTTTGAGAAACCTCCATACTGTTCTTCGTAGTGGCTGCACTAGTTTTCATTCTCAAGAAGAGTGTATAAGAGTTCTCTTTTCTCTGCATTCTCACCAGTATTTATTTTTTGTCTTATTGTATAATAGCCATCCTACAAGGGTGATGTGATACCTCATTGTGATTTTGATTTGCATTTCCCTGGTGATTAGTGATGTTGATCATTTTTTTCATACAATTGTTGGCCATTTCTGTGTGTTTTGAGAAATGTTTGT
The DNA here is from genome assembly GCF_000001405.40 of Homo sapiens. Taxonomy (NCBI): domain Eukaryota; kingdom Metazoa; phylum Chordata; class Mammalia; order Primates; family Hominidae; genus Homo; species Homo sapiens. Next base: position 19,367,921 of record NC_000010.11, read on the forward strand.
TCAGATCATTTGCCTATTTTTAAATTGGAGTATTATTATTATTATTTTGCTGTTGAGATATATGTTTTCCTCATATATTCTGGATATTAGTGCTTGGTTGGATGGATAGTTTGCAACATTTTCAATTCAACAGGCTGTCTTTTTACCCGGTTGATTGTTTTCTTTGCTATGCTAAAACTTTTTATTTTTATATAATCCCATGTATTTACTTTGTTTTATTTTTGTTTGTTTGTTTTTTGCCTGTGCTTTTTTGGTCTTACTCATGAATTGAGTTCCCAGCCAAAACTCCTGAAGCATTTCCCTTATGTTTTCTTCTAGTAGGCTTATAGTTTTGTGTCTTAAATTAGGTCTTTGATCAATTTTAATTTTGTATAGGCTGAGAGGCGGGGGCCTAGTTTCCTTCTTCTGCATGTGGATATCTAGGTTTCCCTAGCACCATTTATTTGAAGACACTGTCCTTTCTCCAGTGTCTATTCTTGGTGCCTTTGTCAAAAATCAATTGACTGTAGAATTGTGGATTCATTTTGGGGTTCTGTATTCTGTTCCATTGGTCTATGTTTCTGTTTTTATGCCAATACCATGTTGTTTTGGTTACTACAGCTTTGTAATGTATTTTGAAGTTTGGTAGTGTGATGCCTGCAGCTTTGTTCTTTTGATTGAGGATTGCTTTGACTATTTGGGGTCTTTTGTAATGCCATATCAGTATTAAGGTTTTTTTATATCTGTGAAGAACGTCATTGATATTTTTATAGAAATTGTATTGAATCTATAGATTTCTTATGTAGTATGCTTATTTTAACAATATTAATTCTGCTCAGTGATCATGGGATGTTTTTCCATTCCTTTGTATCCTCTTCAATTTCTTTCCTCAGTGTTTTGGTGTTTTCCTCGTAGACTTCAATTCGCTTTTTCCTGATAGCTTTTTGCTTGTGCTTTTTGGTGATTTGTGTATGTGTGTGTGTGTGTGTGTTTGTGTGTGTGTGTGTGTGTGTGTGTGTGTGTATGTAATTTAAATATATTTCTTTAAATAATATATCAGTAATATATATAATGATACTTGCATCAAGTATATATAACAGATATCTGTAACTCAATGTTAAACAGACAAATAGATACTTTAGCAGATACTCCAGAGGAATATATTTATTATTCCTCTGTGTATGTGTTAATATATATTTAAATATATTTATATATAACATTTAAATATTAATTATTTAAATTTAATATTATATATAAACTAATATTTATATATAAACTAATATATTATATATAAGCTAATATTTAAATTTGAATATTAATTCTTGTATATAAATATATTTATATTTAAATATACACTTATGTTGTATACATTTATGGTGTATATAATATATATTATGTGATATAAATATAATACATAATAAAATATATAAATATAAAATATGTATATATTGTATATCTGTATATTAAATATACAACATATTGAAATATATTTATATATAAATGCACACACACATTCTTCTATGGAGTAGCTGCTGAAGTATCTATTTGCTTAACATTGAGATATAGTTTTTTTATATACTCTGGATGGAAGTATCATTGTGTGCGTTTATATATAAATTTAAATATATGTAAATACACAAATATTTAAATATATTTACATATAATATGCAAATATGTGAATATATCCATATAAATATAGCCGCATAAATATATTTAAATATACATAAGTATACAGATATATTTAAAAAAAATACATATTTTCAAATATGCATAAGTACACAAATACACACATATATTTAAATATATATAAGTACACACACACACACACATATTCCTCTATGGAGTATCTGTTAAAGTATCTATTTGTCTGATTAACATTGAGTTATAGATATTTTTTATATACTCTAGATGCCAGTATCATTATATATATTACTGATATATTACTTTCTTCATTAAGTGTCCTATTTATTTTCTTAATTGTGTCTTCTGATGATTGGAAATGTTTAGTTTTGATGACATACAATTTATTAACCTTTTTCTATAATGGTTGCTGCTTTCTATGCTTCTGCAAAGAATTTTTGTCCACCCTGGTCACAGAGATATTCTACTATATTTTCTTGGATGTTTTTGAGTTTTAGCTTTTACATATAGGCCTCTGATTCATCATGAATTAATGTCATGTATGGTGTTCCAGCGTCATTTGTTGAAATGACGCTCATTTACCTATTGATTGCCTGGAAGATTTGGTTGAAAATTAATTATATACCTGTAGATCTACAACTGGTACTTTGTTCTCTTTCATCAATCTGTTTGCCTTATTTTACTACCGATTTTGTGACCTATATATTTTTATATAAATGTGAGACCCTACTGGGATATTGATTATCATATTATTAAATCTGTTAATCTGGGAGGATTGGTGTATGAATTATATTGACTTTTCCTATCCATGGGCATGATATATCTCTTCAATTGTTCAAGTATTCTTTCATTTGTCTCAGTGCTGCTTTTTAGTTTGATTGTATAGATCTTGTCTATATTTTTAAAAAAATTGTCTCTACTTTATTTTTTAATGTTATCGTTAAGTCATACTGGTTTTTTTGCTGTATTAAAAGTACAATTAATTTTTATATGATACTTTTGTATTTTACAGCTTTGCTAAATTCACATATTGTTTTGTTTTGTTTTGTTTTTGAGACAGTCTCACTGGCTCTGTTGCCCAGGGTTTACTGCAGTGGTGTAAACTCAGTTCACTTCAACCTCTGCCTCCTGGGTTCAAGTGATTCTTGTGTCTCAACCTCCTGGGTACCTGAAACTACAGGGACACACCACCATCCTGGCTAATTTTTGTTTATTTTGTAGAGACTCGATTTTGCCCCATTGGTCTGGCTGGACTCAAACTCCTGACCTCAAGTAATCTGCCTGCCTTGGCCTCCCAAAGTGCTGGGATAACAGGCATGAGCCACTGCACCAGGCCCACATATTAGTTTTAATAGTCACCTTTTCATAAATTCTTTATAATTTAAAATTATAAAAGCTGTGATTTTTAAAAAAGTGTTTTTCTTCCTTTTCAAAATTTAGGGCTTTTTTTTTTGGTATTGTTGGATAGGATATCCAAGACCATATTTTTAAGAGGTGGTAGGAGTTTTAGACCAGGCTGGACAACATAGTGAGGCCCTCTCTCTACGAAATTAAAAAAAAAAAAAAAAAAGAAAAAGCCAGGTGTGGTGGCATGCACCTGTCGTCCCAGCTCTCAGGAGGATCACTTGAGCCCAGGAGTTGGAGGCTGCAGGGAGCTATGATGGCCCTACTGCACTTTAGCCTGGGCAACCCAGTGAGACCCTGTCTCTTAAAAAACAAAAGAAAAGAAGAAAAACAGAATTGGCATTGCTTCTGATTTTAGAGGAAAGCCACCTTTCTCCATGGAGCATATTAGCTGTACATTTTTTATGTAGTATCCTTTATCAGTATGAGGAAGTTTCCTTCCATTCTCAATATCCTAAGAGATTTTATCATCATTGAACATGACATTTTGTCAAATCACCTTTTGAATCTATACAGAAAATTATGTTTTTTTGTTTTGTTTTGTTTTGTTTTTTGTTTTTTTCTTTTTTACTTTTATATCTAGCTGTGGGTATTACACTAACCAATTTTCAAATCTTGGCCCAGGCCTACAGTCTTAGAATTAACCCTACTTGGTCAGAATCTATTATCCCTTCTATATATTGCTAGATTTTAGCTAATCATAGTTTGTTGAAATTTTTGCAAATATTATTTCTGAAAGGCATTGTTCTATAATTGTCTTTTTAAAGTTTGTTGCTTACAATTATATTCACTCATAGTATGTATTATGTGCATATATAAAGGTGTATATGAAACATTTGTATAATTGTTTTGTATTTTCTATCACTATAATTTCAGCTTCATAGCACTAGGGATAATTGGTTAATTGCTTTGTTTACTACCTGGGTCATAGTTGGAGCTCAGTAAATACTTCTGAAATAAATGAATGAGAAAGGTAAAGGGAATTCCCACAGATATGAGTATACAGAAGGTCTAAAGGGTAGCTCATCCAGACTGGGTCTGGAGCCCTAAACTGAAGCAATATATTCCAGAACACATACAAGTGAACAATTACATCATTGAATTGATTATATTTAGAGGAGTTCTGTAACTCAGTTATACAATTACGTTAAATAAAAATAGGAAATAATTAAATTCAAGACAAATAATAGTTGTATGAGAACTTAAATATAACATACTATATGACTTAATTGCAATATTTATATAGTTATAGTAATATGAACAATGGATATACATTTAAACAAAAATTATAACAACTCTTGGATTGTTGAGGGGAGAATACATCTTGGGGAAAGAAATAGCATAAGACCTATATCCTTATCTCTCATAGGGCAAAGGTAAAATTGAAAAATCAAAAATTAGCGTTATAAATATTTAGACACATGCAGAAAATATCAGAAAAATAGAAAGGTGTTAAAAATGATTTTATCCAAAGTGTACCATAGAGTTAGTGTAGGATGAGACATAGGCCTCTTGAAATAATATTTAATTTTTTTTTTTTTGCAAATGGAGTTTCACTCTGTCACCCAGGCTGGAGTGTAGTGGTGCAATCTCGGCTCACTGCAACCTCCACCTCCCAGTTCAAGTGATTCTCCTGCCTTAGCCTCCCGAGTAGCTGGGATTACAGGTGCTCATTATCACGCCTGGCTAATTTTTGTATTTTTAGTAGAGATGGGGTTTCACCATGTTGGCCAGGATGGTTTCAAACTCCTGAACTCAAGTGTTCCACCTGCCTCGGCCTCCCTAAGTGCTGGGATTACAGGTGTGAGCCACAGTGCCCAGCCAGTATTCAATTTTTTAAACTCCATTTATGTATTACTTTAATAAAAATTTAAATTAAAGGTAAATTTAACTGGATAAGAGAGCTTATGTATAACAAATACGTAAGACTGGTGTAGTTTTTAAAAGCTCAGCAGGTTTCTCAAGACTACAAGATTACTAATCAGCTCATATATTTTTCGCTATCATTATATTCCTCATAAATAATCTTTGTGAAGATAATTACATAAATATGGATGTTCATGTGAATGAAAGTTCCCTGGCCATGCTTATTCTCAAGTGAATTTTAAAGATGAAAAGTCTGCGAAAGTGTGAATTTACACTTTTGGAGAAAAAATAATTCATTGATGAAATTTCAGTAGACAAAGCAGAAAAATAAAAGTTGCTCTCATTTTTTTTTCCAGAATGTTTCCTCCTTGCATTTCAGCAAACGCTAAATACAAAAAAAAAAAAAAAAATAAGGGGCCGGGCACGGTGGCTCATGCGTGTAATCCCAGCACTTTGGGAGGGCGGACGGATCACGAGGTCAGGAGTTCAAGACCAGCCTGGCCAACATGGTGAAACCCCGTCTCTACTAAAAATACAGAAACAACAACAAAAAAATGTAGCCAGATGTGGTGGTGGCGGGTGCCTGTAATTCCAGCTACTCTGGAGGCTGAGGCAGGAGAATCGCTTGAAACCAGAGGGCGGAGGTTGCAGTGAGCCGAGATCATGCCACTGCACTCCAGCCTGGGTGACAAAAGCAAAACTCTGTCAAAAAAAAGAAAGAAAGAAAAGGAAGGAAGGAAGAGGAAAGGGAAGAAGGGAGAGAGGGAGGGATGGAAGAAGAAAAAAATGACAACATAAAATACTAGAGAAAACATTTCTATATAACCTTCTAAGGATGTGTCTTGTCATTAAGTTTCTCACACGTGTATACTTGTATATGTGCTATTCTTCACTTTACATTGTCCTTGAATCCATAGGCAAGACATAACAGTGTTTTTCTAAAAATTATGAAGGTCAATTAACCAAGAAGCTTTGACAGTTTTCACACTGTTTTGTGTGTATAACTCAGGCTTTAACTTGGAAACTGAAAAACTGAAATTTTCTCTTGGTTAGATTTTCACTAGATATACAAGAACGCACATTTATCAATTCAAAACAATTTGTGACTGGTCTGTTTCTCTCTCACCCTGAATAGTGCAAAACCAATAGAACTAAATGAAATACAGTTCTTTACTGCTCTCTTAGCATAAATTATTGTTTGCGCTGGGAAATTGTTTAAGCGGCTATTTGTGAGGGGACTTTAAGTTTGGCATCTTTATTGTCTTTCCAAAGAAAGTTCATTTAAATATGTGCATACATTAGCTACTTTTTTAACGTTTTCAATGACTTAGTCTGCATATATAAATACACATTACTGTTTTTTAAATGCCTTAGTAATTTAGACTGCATGCATAGTACAATGAAGTACTAATGTAGAAATCCATTTTCTTGTGATACATAGAACATTTTAATATTCTAGAAATTATACTGTATAATCTTGCTGCAGTATGCAGCTCAGATTTCAATTCCTATTGATGCTATAGCCTGTTTCAGATAAATTAAAATTTTCAGTGTAATAGTTTACATGATAAATGTTCACATTAAAAATCTGATGGTTGATATAAAGCCCAGTAGCATAATTACTATAGGCTGCTTTCTGCAAGCTATAACAAACCTACTTAGTTTATTTCCTGAAGTTCTATGCAAATTTTTGAAACAGTTTTGTGATTTTATTTAGTATCACATCTTATTTCATAAGTGATTTGAAGTATCACTTAAATGACATGCGTATAGTTTCGCCCATGTGCACACACACATATACATACACATGCATATATACTGAAGGTTTATGGAATCAAGATTCAAGCAACTCAGTGTCCTGGGCAGCCCTTTTCAGTTTTCACTCTTCAGGATCCACAATGGTGGTATGCACCTTCCAGGTAGCAAGGTGGATGAAGAAATAAAGAAACTGGCCAACAGGTGCATGCCAGCTGTCCTTTAAGAAAAGTATCTGGAGACCATCACAGGACCTGGGGGATTATATGATATTAGCCAGAAACTAGTAGTGTGATCACACTACATTTTTCTGGGAAATGGATTTCATTCTGGGCAGTCATGTAACCATCTAAGAATTGTAAATCAGAAGCAAAGGACAGATATAGGGGGCAAACATTAGTCCCTACCACGTGCAATGATAATACATTGTGAAAGAATGGTCACAAAGTGAAATGGGCCATGGGATGCTATGGCCCTGCACTTTTTCTAGATATAGACTGAAAATAAAAGCTTTTTATTGACCGGAGGGAAAAGAAAAAATTATGATGAGATTGAACTCTCATCACCATAACCAATAACCAGGTCAGTAGAAACACAACTTATTCTAGTTGAGAATCTGATAAAATTTTCTTTTGATATACTTTCAATATTCCCCAAAGTAGGTACAATAGGTAATTTTAATATTTCATTTTTTAAAATAATGTTTCTCAATACATGCCAAGGTGAAATTCACTAATTGCAACAATAGAGGAATGCAAAGTTAGACAGCTAATGTATACCCAGATATAAGATAGTGTAGCTTGATCTAGTGTTGTGTTTATTATAGAGAAAGGGTTTTTCTCTGGTGGTGAGAAAGAGTTGGGAGAAAACTTTAATTATAGAACAATATATTGGGCTTTAAGGTAATAGATCTTAATCTTGTTGATATACCAAAATCACCTGCAAGGCCCTGGATAAGGACACACATCCTCACCATACTGTCACCCGCCATGCTCTCCTACTAAGTTGGAAGGTATGACCTTATAATCTGTATTTTTCTAAAGATACACTGATTATTTTGATACATAACTGGTTGAGAACCATTGTTATAAGATGTGAGAGTAATTGGTTCCTTGTTATAAGGAGAGAGACCAATTACTTCCTTGAAAGCCACACGCTAACAAAACTCAACCACGATGAAATTAAAACAATAACAAAAACAGACTAGTTAATCCTGTAAACTAGAAGGAACTTGAATTTACAATTAAAAAGTTTCCAAAAAGAAAAATCTCCAGGCGGCCAGACACATTGGCTCATGCCTGTAATCCCAGCACTTTGGGAGGCCGAAGCAGGTGGATCACAAGGTCAACAGATCGAGACCATCCTGGCCAGTGTGGTGAAACCATGTCTCTACTAAAAATACAAAAATTTGCTGGGCGTGGTGATGCACACCTGTAGTCCCAGCTACTCAGGAGGCTGAGGCAGGGGAATTGGTTGAACCCAGGAGATGGAGGTTGCAGTGAGCCAAGATTGCACCACTGTACTCCAGCCTGGGTGACAGAGCGAGACTTCGTCTCAAAAAACAAAACAAAACAAAGCAAAAACAAAAACAAAAAAAACTTCGAGCTCTGTTGATTTCACTATTTAAAGAAGATCTTTCTTCCTTTCCTTGCCCTCAGCGTCTTCAAATTATAACTGTCTCATATTTCATTTCCTCAGATTTCTACCTTTATTTAATCTGGGCTTATGAATCTGTGGTTAATAAGATGGTTAAGTTGTGTTGCACTTGAGTTCCTGCTTCTCTGAGGAGCCTCTTAAGAACCAATTACATGTGTAGGGGCAAAATGCTGTTAACGTGGGACAGACAGGAGGGGGAGGTCTCCAGACATCAAAAATTGCTTCCCTCACAGTAGCTGGGTAGATGTATTTTGATACTGTGTACCATTTGAACAAACAATGGAGGAAAAAATGTTTGAAAGTCAAGGAGTTGATACATTCTTTTTTTTTTTTTTTTTTTTTTTTTTTTGTAAGAGGGAGCCTTGCTCCTATTGCCCAGGCTGGAGTGCAGTGGCATGATCTTGGCTCACTGCAACCTCTGCCTCCTGGGTTCAAGTGATTCTCCTGCCTCAGCCTCCCGAGTAGCTGAGATTACAGGTGCCCAACACCACACCTGCTAATTTTGTATTTTATTAGAGACGGGGTTTCCCCATCTTTATTAGAGACGGGGTTTCAGTCTGTTGGTCAGGCTGGTCTCAAACTCCTGACAGTAAATGATCTGACCACCTCGGCCTCCCTGAGTGCTGATACATTATTCTAGTTCACCTTAATATCCAAGCAAGGAACTCCCTCTTTTGTAAAAAGACTGTTGCACTAAGTTGATTTATTGGGAAAAACTATACAGGAATAGCAAGGAGGACTCTTTTATTTTTCAAATTATATTAAGTAAAAGGAGAATGATTAAGGTAAAATAAACACTATGTGGTACAATTCTTAGAACAGGATTCTATTCCATTCAAAATAGTCAATGCAAACTATAACATATTATTACCACATATCATGCTGAGGCATAAATAAAACTATGCATAACTGTTGGGCTCAAAACTGATGTTCAAGCACCTTAATTCCATTGCTAGATAATTTGTTGGTTAACTTTTGCAAAGTGGAGAGAATAGTAACATCACTTCAAAAATGAAAAGATGGGTTGTTATTTTGTTGTGTTTTTAAAAAAGGAAAGGAATAATGCATGGGTTATTTTTATATATTAAGTAAAAAATAATATAACATTTTATTACTAAAGAAACTAACATTTTCTTACTAAAATACATTTCATGCCCTTAAGCTATTGGTAATATGCAAAGTTATTGAGAATGGATTCTGGAACTAAATTATCTAGATTCAGATCTCAGGTCTGCTCCCTATTCAATTGTGTAACATTGAGGAGGATGTTTTATTCTCTGCTTGTTAGTTTTTTCATCTGTAAAATGAGGTTATTAAACAGAACTACTTCATAAGATTGTTGTGAAGATTGAATAAGATACATAAAATTCTTATAAGCATGACTAACAACTGAAAAGTATAAGTCTCAGTCATAATTATTTTTTTTTCATTTTTGATACAAATCCTATAACCATTAATGAATTAAGAACAAATTTGTTACAATGAACATACACATTAAAGGAAAATATCAGGTGTAAAACGAGGTGATTTCAGGAATTAATAGATTATTATTTCTGAGTATTTTGTTTGCATTGCCAGTATTCTATAAGCAAATTAATAAACCTAAACTTTATAAATAATGAAATATAATTTCCTTTCAGTGGATTTTAAAATACTCTATGCACAAAGCTTTGCCCAGTTCTATGAAATACCAATGATAACTGCCAGCAATAAAATCCCAATCCCTTTCATTCACAATTTTCACCATTTTTGTCAATCAAGAATTCTGTGATTAAAGTAAGCTGGACGCACAGATTTTAAAACATAATTGGATTAATTGACATTTTTCTGTCCCTACTTTATTAGAAACATTATGCATTTAGCTTTTCAAATATATACAGTTTTTTTACTCTAAACTTGACACTTCTAGAGGGCCAGTATTAGATTTTATGCTATATGAAAGCTACCTCTCTATCTTGAACTAGAACCATACCAAAGCTTAAACAATATGTATTCAATTAATGAAGAAGGGAATTCGTTTTGCATTTCCAAAAGCATTATTGAAAATAAATTCTCCACTGTAATTTATCACATGCACTTGTGATGATAATGATGAAATGAAATCCATGGTAGAAGTGGATTTGGTTGAATGAATATGTTGTCAAAACCCCTTCTATACCACTGTATCAACAAATATTTTCCAGATTCAGTCAGCATCTTTTTGGTGGCCATGGAAAGAAGTATTAATCTGCACCAGCAAAGTCTTAAGACATGCATAGTTGAAAGAACACAGGGCCTGTGATCAATCAGTATATGGTCTACCTCTTGATCTGATGTGTGCCAGATATTTCAGAAGACAAATATTTTTTGTTTATGTCTTTTTCTGATTTAAAAATATCTTGTGATTTTCCCTTCATTTTGTTTATGGTTATTTATATTACTTGATATTCAAGTGAATTCCTTGCACTCTGACATGAACATGATCATGACGTACTGTCTTATGTGCAGAACTTTATTGGCTAATTTAGTACAAAATTTTGTGCCTATGTTCATGAGACATATTGGTCTATCATCTTGTCATGTATTTTTCTGTTTTTGGTATTAGAGTAATATTGACATCATAAAATACACGTGAGAGTGCTCCCTCTTCCTCTATTTTATGGAAGAGTACATGTTGGGTTACTATTCTTTCTGTTTACATGTGTTGTAGAATTCATCAGCCAAATTTTGCCCTAGAGTCTTCTTTGTGACAAGACTGTTAATTATGGCTTCTATCCATGTAATAGTTGTAGGGCTGTTCACCTTTTTTTTCCTCTAGTTGGATTTGGTAATTTGTTTTTGAAGGAATTGATGTATTTCACCAAAGTTGTCAAGTTTATTGTTATAAACTTGCTCATAATAATCCTTTATTATCTTTTTAAACTGTATACAACATGTAGTGATATCTTGTCTTTCCTTTTTCACATTGGTAATCTTTGTCTTATTTTTATTTATTTATTCATCAGTGCAGATGATGTTTTATCAGTTTTACTGATATGTGCAACTAAACAGCTTTTGGTTGAACTGCTGTTTTTCACAATTGTTCATTTTGTCTTTAATGGATATTTCCTCTTTATTATTTTCCTCCTTCTACTTATTTTGTGATAAATTTGCTTTTATTTTTCTAGCTTCTTATGATAGAAACTTAGTTAATTGATTTTGGATCTTGTTTTGTTAAATGTAAGCACTTATAGCTGTATGTTACCTGAACTGCTTTACCTGGAGCCCATAAATTTTGATATGCTGAGTTTTCATTTTCATAGGGTTCAAACTATAACTACTGTTGTTATTTCTTCTTTGACTCAATGGTTACTTACAAATATGTTGTCAAATATTTGTGTGATTTTTCAGATACCTAATTTGATACTGATTTCTATTTTAATTCTGTTGTGCTTAGATAGCATACTCTGCATGATTTTAATTCTTCTAAATTTATTGAAACCTGTTTTATGGCCTTTTATATGGTCCAGCTAGTGACTATTTCACACGTCCTTGAAAACAATGTATATTCTGTTCTTGTTTGGTGTAGTGTTATGTAAATGTTAACTAGACCAGTATGCTTGATCATGGGTTCATTTCTTCCATACATTTACTTTCTGTTTTATCAGTAACTGAAAGAAGGGTGGTGATACTTCCAAATAACCTTGCAGTTTTGGTTATTTCTCCTTTTGATTCTGTCAGTGTGTGTTTGTTGTAATTACATGGATAAACACTGAAGTTTTATTTTTATTTAATTTTTTTTTTTTTTTTTTTGAGACAGAGTGTCACTCTATCACCCAGGCTGGAGTGCAGTGGCAGGATCTTGGCTCACTGCAGCCTCTGCCTCCCAGGTTCCAGGAATTCTCCTGCCTTAGCCTCCCAAGTAGCTGGGATTACAGACATGCACCACCATGCCTGGCTAATTTTTGTATTTTTAGTAGAGACGGGGTTTCACCATGTTGGCCAGGCTCGTCTCGAACACCTGACCTCAGGTGATCCACCTGCCTTGGCCTCCCAAAGTGCTAGGATTACAGGTGTGAGCCACTGCGGCCAGCCTTCTTTTTTTTTTTTTTTGATTGAATGACCCTTTATTACTGCAAAATGGTCCTCTTTGTTCTTGGAAGTATTCCACACCATGAGTTCCGCTTATTCTCTCTATTCTGATGGAATTCCAACACCTATTGGCCCTAAGTGATTTGTATGAATTATTCCCCTCAGCTGTTCAGTAGTTCTTTTGTTTCATTTTTTGCTTACGTTCTTATTTCTTTTAAAAGTGTTTGGAATTTTACTTTACACACTTTTTCTCTCTTAAGTAAAATCCCAATTTACTGTTTCTCTTAATTCCCAATTTTCTCTTCCTCTTACATTTTTATATAGTCTTTACCATAGAAGTTTAATGTCCATACATAATATTATAAGGTTTAAAGTAATTTAATATATTTATCATCCTTTTGAACATTATATAGAATTTAAAAATGTTTTAATCATTTCCTCTCTATCCATTTACTTGTGGTTCGTTGTTATGCCACATTTTGATACATTACATAAAAATTTGGCATTATTGTTGTCATCGTTTTTAATATTTACCGTCAAGTGTACTGCTTTCTTTACTGGAAATTTTTTGTAACATCTTAGGTTTTTCTTCTAGGATCACTTGATTTCTTTCTAAAGAACGTTCTGTAGCAATTTCTTTTCTTTTTTTTTTTATACTTTAGGTTTTAGGGTACATGTGCACAATGTGCAGGTTAGTTACATATGTACACATGTGCCATGCTGGTGGGCTGCACCCACTAAATCGTCATCTAGCATTAGGTATATCTCCCAGTGCTATCCCTCCCCCCTCCCCCCACCCCACCACAGTCCCCAGAGTGTGATATTCCCCTTCTTGTGTCCATGTGATCTCATTGTTCAATTCCCACCTGTGAGTGAGAATATGCGGTGTTCGGTTTTTTGTTCTTGCAATAGTTTACTGAGAATGATGATTTCCAATTTCATCCATGTCCCTACAAAGGACATGAACTCATCAATTTTTATGGCTGCATAGTATTCCATGGTGTATATGTGCCACATTTTCTTAATCCAGTCTATCATTGTTGGACATTTGGGTTGGTTCCAAGTCTTTGCTATTGTGAATAATGCCGCAATAAACATACGTGTGCATGTGTCTTTATAGTTCTTAATAGAGTCTTTTGGTGACAAAGTCTTTCACAAGATCTGCTGAAGGCACGTTAGCCAAATGTCTTGTCTCTAAATAGCTCTCCTTTCAGATATATCATGTATTGCATTCTCTATTATTTTCATTATAACCTCATTGAAAAATGGGTTATGGCCAGGCACGGTGGCTCACGCTTGTAATCCCAGCACAACGGGAGGCCAAGGTGGGTGGATCACTTGAGGTCAGGAGTTCCGGACCAGCCTGGCCTACATGGTGAAACTCTTTCTCTACTAAAAATACAAAAAAAAAAAAAAAATTAGCCGGGCCTGGTTCCGGGCACCTGTAATCCCAGCTACTTAGGAGGCTGAGGCAGGAGAATTGCTTGAATCTGGGAGGTGGAGTTTGCAGTGAGCCGAGATTACGCCACTGCACTCCAGCCTGGGTGACAGAGTAAGACTCTGTCTCAAAAATAAAATACAATAAAAATGATTATCATTAATATTATAGAACAAAAAGCAACATGAGAGTTCAGGGAATAAATGGTATTTCCAACTGAGTAAAATTTTAACAGATTCTGTGGTATGTATTAAAACATTATTTTGACCAATGGTACTACGAAATTTGTATGTGTATATATTCAGGTGTGTATACTTGAGAAATAGCTTATAGATAATTGAACTTCAAAACGTTACTCCAGTCTATACCCTTAATGTCAAGAATGTGTCTGTTCTCTTAAACGCTGCCTGGCTTTAACAATTAAGGATTGTTTTAATAATATAAGAGTCTCAGACTTCATTGTGCTAAGAAATTCCAAAACTCTAGATCATCCTCACAGTATGTTGTTTTGATGTCTTTTCCTGAATACCTGTAAAAATAAATAGAATTTTGACATTCACAACAGGCCTGATCTACTTGTAGTGTAGTGTGATGCATGGGATGACATCTGATATTATTTGATAGATGGAAGCGTGTGTGTGTGTGTATGTGTGAGTGTGTGTGTGCATGTGTGTCTTAGAGAAATGGAGAGAAATGGACATAGTAAAAGGAACGTTGGCATAAAAGTTAGAATATCTGAATGGTTTTATTCTTTGCTTATCTGCTATTATGTAATCACAAACTAGAAGGCATAGTTGTGTCAGTTAATTTTAGTAACTCTGTGATTTTTATAATAGAAGTTTTATTTTTCATGTTTGAGTTTATGTAATATAGGACTGTAGAAGTAAATACTTGGGATTTACACCTGCTGTTTAATTCAGATAAAGGTCTTGATCCGGGCTTTCTTCTTTATGTACTTTGTTCTTTCCATTAATTTTCCTGGTCTGCTCTGGGAGTCATTATAAATATATGGAACCCTCAACCTCCACTCATCAGAAGGCTCACTGAGTAGGAGCTGTTAGTATACTAGAATGTTTAACAACATAGATACTTAAGTGATAAAATTATTTCAGGTAGAAGATTTTCATCCTGTACCACTCCTGCTACTCAGTGTTTCTGCAAATGTTAAAAGGATGTATACTCTTTCTTTAGTAGATTCTTATAACCTTCAGTACCAAAATTCTTTATATGACTTACTACAATTTATTAAATGTTTTATGCAAATTATTAATATCAGAAATGAAGTAGGGAACACCACTACAGATACCATGGACATTAAAAGGATAATAAAAGAATAGTATGAACAACTCTATGTTCACAGTTTACTAATCTAGATGAAATGTTTGTTATATAGGTAACTTGCATATCATGGGGGTTTGGTGTACTGATTATTTTGTCACCCAGGTAATCAACATAGTACCTGATAGGTAGCTTTTTGATCTGCAGTCCTCTCCCATCCTCCACCCTCAAGTAAGCCCTGGTGTCTGTTGTTCCTTTCTTAGTGTCCGTATGTCCTCAAAGTTTCACTCCCATTGATAAGTGAGAACATACGGTATTGGCTTTCTGTTCCTGTGTTATTTTACTTAGGATAATGGCCTCCAGCTCCACCCATGTTTCTGCAAATGATATAATCTCATTCTATTTTATAGTTGCATAGAATTCTCTGGTAAATACATACCACATTTTCCTTATCCAGTCTACAGTTATGGGCATATGGGTCATTCCATGTCTTTGCTATTCTGGATAGTGCTGTGATGATCATGAATGTGTATGTGTCTTTATGGTAGAATGATTTATATTCCTTTGATAACTTTTTGATAATGAATATGAATTGAGAGTTACTAAGTACATACCTTATATGGTTCATGCTGCTTAGTCTATTACATGTTAACTAATTTTAATCCTTGTAACTCTGAAAGGTAGACAAGTGTTATTATTATTTCCATTACTTAGGTAAATCATATTTACATGTGATGATCAAAATATCTCTTCCAATAACAAAAACTTTATGGGCTGCCTATTTTAAGTCTGTTTCTTATTCAGTATTAAATAGATACTAGATGCTAAGCCCTGGGTCTGCAGCAAAATGGAAATAGTACATTCTCCAGGACTTTGAGAGAGGCAGATAATTTAAGCAAGGAATTAAAGTGCGGTGAGTGCTATGATATGGGAAGTGTGAGGTGTTATGGAAATGTATAGCATTTAAGTTTGTAGAACCTAACTTAGACCAAATGGTAAAAGAAGGGAATCCTAAGAAAAAAGACTTAAGGTCTGAATGATAATTCTGGTATTGGAAGATAAGTATTCCAGGTAAGAGAGAGCATGGTGTGAGATGATATTGTGGTTTGCATTTGCATTCCTCTGATGATTCGTGATGTTGAGCATCCTTTCATATATACATATATTGTCCACTTGTATGTCTTCTTTGGAGAAATGTCTTCTGCCAATTTTTAAATCAGGTTACCTGAGTTTTGTCCTATAGAGTTGTAAGAGTTTATATATATATGTTAAAAAACATAATACATATCTTATATATAATATATGTATTATATATGTATTATATAAATATATATTATAGTATATATAATATAATTACTATATAATATATATTATATAGTATATAATATAATATTTACTATATATTATATATTATATAGTATATATAATATAATATTTACCATATATTATATATTATATAGTATATATAATATAATATATACTATATATTATATAGTGTATGTAATATAATATTTACTATATATTATATATTATATAGTGTATATAATATATTTACTATATATTATATATTATATAGTGTATATAATATAATATTTACTATATATTATATAATATATAGTATATATAATATAATATTTACTATAATATAATATATAGTATATATAATATAATATTTACTATATATTATATAATATATAGTATAGATAAAATTATACTATATAATATATATAATTTCATTTATTCTTTTTATATTTGAATGCTTCATTTTTTTCTTTTTCTTACCTAATTGCTCAGGCTAGGACTACTAGTACTAGTTTGAATAGAAGTGCCAAGACTGGGCATTAATTCTTTGCTCCTTATGCTAGAGAAAGAACTGAAAATTTTTTACTGTTGAGTGTGATGTTTTATTTGAGCTTTTTATATATGACCTTTATTATGTTGATGTAAATTCCTTCTATGTATAGTTTAAGAGATTTTATTATGAAATGGTGTTGAATTTTGTCAAATGCTTTTTCTGCATCTATTGAAATGATCATAAGATTTTTATTCTTCATTCTGTTAATGTGGGGTATCACATTATTAATTTGCTGATGTTAAACTATTCTTGCATGTCAGGTGTAATCTTATGTGGTAATGATGTATGATCCTCTTAAAGTGCTGTTGAATTTGGTTTTCCATTATTTTGTTGAGGATTTTTGCATCCATATTTATTAGGGATATTGGCTGTAGTTTTCTCCTTTTGTAGTGTTTGTGCATGGCTTTGGTATTGAGGTAATAAAATGAATTAGGAAATGTTCTCTTCAATTTTTTGGAAGAGTTTGAGAAGGATTAATGGCAATTCTTCTCTGAATATTTAGTAGAATTCACCCTTGAAGCCATCTGGTTCTGGGCTTTCCTTTAATGGGAGGGTTGTTACCACTTCAATCTCATTACTCATTATTGATCTGTTCAGATTTTCTGTTTCTTATGATTCAGTCTTAGTAGGCTGTAGGAATTTCTAGGAATGTATCCATTTATCCAAGTTATTCAATTCTTGGTGTATAATTGTTCATAGAAGTCTCAATGATCCTTTATGTGTCTATGGAATCAGTTGTATTAACTCCTCCTTTAATTTCTAAGTTTATTTATCTGAGTCTTCTTTATTCTTTGTTCATCTAGCTAAGTGTCTGTCAGTTTTATCTTTTCAAAAAATGAACCATGTATTTTATTGACATTCTCTATGGTTTATTCTCTATATTATTTATTTATGTTCTAATCTTTATAATTATTTTTGTTCTGCTAACTTCGGCCTTAGTTCTTTTTCTTCTAGTTTTCTGTCAAATAAAGTTAGGATGTTTATTTAAGATCTTTCTTTTTTAACGTAGGTATTTATCACTATACACTTCCCTGTTAGTACTGCTTTTGCTGCATCTCACAAGTTTTGCTCTGTTGTGTTTTCATTTCATAAAATATTAATAATTAACCAAAAAAATTTTGTCATAGACAGAGTCCATGGTTGAAGCTTATTTTCAATGGCTTCATAATACAAAGTCCACCTAATTAGGCAACCTCAAACAGTTCAGGAACAGCATAACACTCAAAATTGCCAGAAGCCTTCATAATACGTTTCCTCTCCAGTGGCTTCAATGTGGCATTCCATTCATCTTCATCTTCTACTCTCTTCCCTCTTGACCATCTATTGTCTAAAATGTGAGACTTATCCAGGAGGTACAAGCTTCTATATGAGGTTGTATCACCAGCCGTTTCCAGCTCCCAGAAAACCTTATAATAAATACCTGAACTTCATCCCCTACCTCTGACCCACATCAACCCTCATCTACCAGGTAACTTGCCTCCAGAGGTTCATGTGGCAGGGTGGGGCTACCACCTTTGAAGTAAAGCAAGGAGTGATGTTATCAGCTCCTCTACCTGGAAGAAGGAGAAGACAAGAAAAAAAAAATGTCAGATCCTGTAGTGTCAGAGAAAAAAATGTGAAGCTGATATCCCAAGCTGGATTTCTAAACAACTTTTTCTATTGAAATATTGTTACCCATGACAGTTAAATTCTGTTGTAATATTGGAGTAGTATAATAATTATGCCTTCAATATACATTCTAAATAACCTCATTCCAAAGCACTTTATTTCCCTCATTCATGTATTTGACTAATATTTACTAATCACATAGTAAGGACCAGGCACTGTTGTAGGCACTGGTGAGATAGATATATATACACACACAAATACATATACATATACACACACACACACACACACAATACTCTTTTAAATTAGCTTAACTTCTCTAGGATTTTGCTCTTTTTTTCTCTTTTGAGCTAAGGAAACTAAAATGTATCAAATGTTGGTATGATCCAAGTCATGTTACTAATAAATATTAGCACTAGAGGTCAAACTCAGGTCTTCAAAAGCATTGCTTTTTCTCATGTTTTGTAAACAAATCTCTATGGTTGGCATTGCATTGCAGAAAAATTGCTTCTAAAAGTCCAAATTATAGACAAATAAATATGCATTTTAGAGAAAAATCTGTTGTAGTGTCAGTTATTAGTTATATATGCATAGCCGTGCTTCTAAGGAGGTATCTTACATATCGTGGCTTCTGAAAAATATTAGAGTGGACGGATGCTAATGGAATGTATTTCCAAATGCCACATAATACATGATCTCTTAGCTGCTTAAAGATTTTGTTTCAGGATGAAAAAATAGAAGGCCTCACATTGGCTCTCAGATATAATTTACATCCTTGAACACAGTTTACAAGGAATGTTGCATTTGGGGAGATGGAGGGGTACTTTCCTAGATCAATAAAGTGATGCTTTTTTTTTTTTTTTAGCATTTGTGAATAATCATAGTCATGAATAAGCCTCTATAGGTTAGAGCTCTGGAGCAGAGTGGGAGAGAGAGAGATGGGGTTCAGGTACCTCAAATTCCTAAGAACAATATGTTCCTTTATAGATTAAAATGAATCCACTCTTACTGCTTTTTGACCTCACTGAATGTGTTAGGAGTGTTCGCTCATTCTTGTTTTCTTTTGTTTTGTTTTAGGTTTCTGCCCACTTGGCTATAGGGAATGTCATAATGGAAAATGCTATAGGCTGGAACAAAGCTGTAACTTCGTAGATAACTGTGGAGATAATACTGATGAAAATGAGTGTGGTAGCTCCTGTACTTTTGAAAAAGGCTGGTGTGGCTGGCAAAACTCCCAGGCTGACAACTTTGATTGGGTTTTAGGGGTTGGCTCTCATCAAAGCTTAAGACCTCCCAAAGACCACACACTTGGAAATGAAAATGGTAGGTTATTAGATTGTTGTAATTGCTTTCACATGATTTTCACAATGTACATCAAAATGTCTTTTCTGATAGCAACTGGGGAGCTCTGAAGAGACCACCACGATGGTATTGCAAGGCGATCAAACATTTAGTGAGTGTTTTTTTTCTTAGGGCTGCTGTAAGAAAGGGCCACAGAGTGGATGACTTAGACAACAGACATTTATTTCTCAAATTCTGCATGCTGGAAGTTCAAGATCAAGATATTGGCAATGGTGATTCCTTCTGAGGGTTGTGAGGGAGCATGATCTCTTCCATGTCCCCTCTTAGATTCTGGTAGTTTCATTAGTTCCTTGGCTTGTGTATGGTGGTTTTCCCTAATTCTTCACATCATCTTCTCTGTAAGCATGTCTGTTTTTAGGCCCATATTCCCTGTTTCATTAGGACCCAGTCATATTGGATTAGTGTCCATCCTAACAGCCTCATTTTAACCTGATCATCAGCAAAAACCCTATTTCCAAATAAGGTCACATTCATAAGAACTGGGGTTAGAACTCTGGCATATTTTTGGGAAGGAGAAAACACAATTCAAACCATAACAGTTTTTAGCCAAAATCCAATATTAATCATTAATTCAGCAATTGAAGTTAGATGATAATGTATGCTGCCATCAGACATCTTTCCTAAATGGTACACACTTGTAATCAATAACCCTGAATTCTGCCACTCATGTGATCATTAGCAAGTCATTTAAATTTCAGATTTTCAAATTCCTCATCTGTCATTTTGAGATGATAAAATTTGACCTGTGTGCCTCACAGAGATTGTGGAGATGATGTATATGAAGAGAAAAGAGTTTGAAACCTATAGAGATGCCATGAAAATTTAACTTTAAAGCCACATATGTTAAGGGTGTTGGGCATGGCTCATTTTTGTAGTGAGTGGCTGAGACTTGATGAAGGAATAAAGGACAGTAGCAGAATAAAGCTTGTTACTTTATTCCTTGGTGAAGGAACTTTTTTCCTTGGTGAAGGAATAAAGGGCAGTAGCAGAATGAAGAAGTGACCCTGAATCCCTGGATGCTACGTCATAGGCAAAGAAGTCTAAATATTGAAATTCCATAGGTCTACTGAAAAAAAAAAAAAAAAAAGAAAAACTGACCAAGGCAGGGAAAGCAAGACAAAAGTCTCATTCAAACACTCAGCTCTACATACATGAAATGTTATGGATATGTCAATGTGCAAGAACAAAACTGAATACCTTTCTTCCCATGTTACTTACTAAATTTCTTAGTGTTATATTTACACACTCAAGAGATGACTAAATTTTTAAAAGCAGACCATATCACTCTTTTTTTTAGATTTCATTGGTAGTCTTTACATTATTTTACAATCACTTGGTAGTTTGGGAAATCTATAAAATAATTTTTGTAGCTATCTTGTTGATGCGACGGCATAAATATCCCATCAGATCAGTTAATCTGCATACTGTGAAGCACGTGCTAAAAGCACAGACAGTTGGAAATTGTTCTGTCAGCAAGCTAGAGGCGAGGCTATTAGATTTTCTTTCTGTTCCAAATGAAAATACTTTTGGCAGCTCAGATCATACGAATTGTAATTAAAGACCCTAACTATGATGGAAATGCAAAAATAATCCCATCATTGTTATTTCGTTCTTCTCTGAATTCTGTCCTTGTTCCTAGGGCACTTCATGTATCTGGAAGCTACTGCAGTGGGCCTTCGGGGTGACAAAGCACACTTCAGGAGTACCATGTGGCGAGAATCCAGTGCAGCCTGCACCATGAGCTTCTGGTATTTCGTATCTGCAAAGGCCACAGGATCCATTCAGATTCTCATCAAGGTAGGAACATGGCCTGTGATGCCTCTGAGCTTGTTTTGTTCTGTTTTAGAGACAGGGTCTTGCTCTGTCACTCAGGCTGCAGTGCAGTGGTGCAGTCATGGCTTACTGCAGCCTCCAACTCCTGGACTCAAGCGATCCTCCTGCCTCTGCCTCCCGAATAACTGGGACTACAGGCATGCACCATCATGCCTGGCTAATTTTATATTCTTTGTAGAGAATAATTTTATATTTTTTGTAGAGATTTTATATTCTTTGTTGCCCAGGCTTATCTCAAATTCCTGGGCTCAAGCAATCCTCCCACTTCAACCTCTCAAAGTGCTGGGACTACATGCATGAGCCACCACACCTGGCCCCTCTCTATAGGTGGCATGTGGCCTGAGGGAGTTGACTTGGCTAGAGAAGGCCCCCTGTTTTTCAAAGGTGCCATCTCCTGTGGCTGAAATGATCTATGGGGTTTGGTAAGCTGAGACATGAGAACCAGCTTTGAGTTCAACATCATATCCTGTGATTATGACTGAATCCCAGAGACTCATTATATAATAGTAATTAATCTAGGACACATACATTTCTTCTTCCTATTTAGTTGTTTCCTTCCCTTTCCTTTCCAATAAAAGAAAATAAATTATTTGTGCATCTGAAAGAAGACCGGCTATCCATTTTTCCTCACAGATGAGCAATCATTAAGGGAAGTAATAATAGACATTCTGGTTCTAAGCACACTGTGCAAAGGACTGAACTACTCAGGAGAATCATCAAGGTATGATTACATGAAACTGCTTATTAACTGACACAGTAATGCATTTTCTTAGTAAGGATTAATTGGATGTTTCTGTCAGAGCTTTAATTTAGTATAACAAAGTGACAGTGTTCAGGGAACAAAATAACATAGTAAATATTAATATTAATGAGACTTGGTCAAACACCTTTACTCTTTACTGAGTTAAAACAGTAGCCGAAAGGAGATGTATATGTGCACGTGCAGGTATGTGTGTATTTATTTGAAGAATCTAGGTAGAATTCCAAGAAAGCTTACTTTAAAGCATGCTGTGGAGACCATTGCTTTTTTTTTTAATGACACATGAGCTTTGGTTAAGTGCCCTGGCACTGATAGAAAATGCCTGAGCTGAATACCAAAGAGCTTATACCTATGAACAGCTTATGTCTGCAGAGTCTATGTTTTATTGGAAACCAGAATTGACTTTATAACTTAGAACTCTTCTATAATGATGCAGAAAACTCTGCCTAATAAAATACATGTTGCAAGAACCACAGCAAATCATTCTTATATTTAAAGATGGAAACTTACAAAAATATAGCACTTAAAGTTCTCATAAGAGGACTTCACCAACACCCTTGAAATGTGATACTTGATTCTATGGTGTGCACCATGTTAGAGATTTTGTACTGTTCTCTGGGGTTTGCTTTGATTATTTGCTTCAGTCGTATTTACATTTCAATTATGTTACAGTAACAAACTTTTTATTTCTAGAAAGTGTAATACTAAACCATTTTGCGATATTAGTCTTCCTACCAATGGCATAGAATTCCTGTGGTTCCTCTAATTGATTCTTAGGGAAATTTAACAGCATTTTAAAAAGCCTGTCTTCCTACTGTGCACACACACAAACATACACACACACACACTTAAAAAGTATATGCCTGTACTTAGTCACGTTGATTGTGAAGAAATCTCTCATAATATATTTGGATTCTATATTCATGAATATTAGGGCAATCATTTCATCTTGGTGATTAATAAGATATGTATTTTCAACCAGCCTTACAGAGTAGTTATTTGGCTGTCTCCATGTGGAATCATGCTAGATTTTACCTTGCTCATTAGCTTGAAAGCATCCTAGCTAGATGGTAAGCCCAATAAAGGCAAGGATTCTGCCTCCAAATTCTTTCTTTACTCTTCGTCTTTTAAGATGTTCCAGTATACACATTCGCTCCCTCTGGCTTGGCACTCCCTGTCTATTCTTAGTTAGGCCCCCTTCTGTGTTTTCTGGCTTTTCCCTCCACACCGAGTCGCACCCAATCGGGAAGACTCGACCTTTTGCAGAACTTTCCTTGGCCACATTTGCCTAGCCTCCCACAATGATTCCTTTTCTGAGTGTCTTGCAGTTCCAGAAAGATTCCTGCTAACTGGCTGTTCATTAGAAATTATTCTAGTTCAACCAACTGATTGTAAAGTCTTGAGAGCAAGGCACTGAAGTTTTAGGCTTCAAGTGTCACTCTCAGATCTTCAGAAAAGGGACTGCTGGATGAAGCAAAAAAGTGGTGGCCTCCCAGAGGTTGTGGCTGGGCTGGAGCCAACCCTTATTTAGGACAACCCTTGCGAAGGGATGGCCATTGTGCATTACATGCATGACGTTCAAGTCTAGCCTGAAGAAGCATCTGTCATCTAAATCAGAAACATATACATGGAATCGGATTTAAAAGCATGTGCCATTGAACAATAATTAATTGGTAGCCTCATTTATATGGGGTAATACTGATTATAGATCGCTACAACAATGCATCCATAAATATGTCATTTATAGAACACCATCACTTATATTATTTCATGGAATTCTTAACACACCCCTCTGAGTTAAATAATGGGAGCCTTATTTTACTAAAGGGGTAGAGGAGTCACAGAAATAACTTTACCACCCTATAGCTAAATACCCAGTCAGTGACAGAGTGGGAACCTGAATCCAAGTATGTCTGGGTCCAAAACTCATTTGTTTACTCCCAACCCTGAGCCCCAAGTGTTCCACACTGACTTTAATATTGAAATGAAGATCCCCCTTTATCGAGATCTATACACATTGCATAGAATATTTTTTAGAAAAAAACAAAATGAATCATGGTTCTTAGAATGGCCATATATGATTCTTAAATGACTCCTGTAATAAAAAAGTAAATTCAGAGAAACCTCAACAAAGCAAAGCTATTGCTTTTGAGAACATTTGGTAAAGAGCAGTACCATATTACCTATTTCTGTATTTTTTGCCTTTGGTTACATGAGAATTGCTTTTCATTAGAGAGATGTAACTGAAACAAATGTAAGTTTTGTGTCTTCAGTCAAGCAATGGGTGAATAATAAGAGGATCAAAAAAATTGAGAAATTGATGTTAATTTTTTCATTTTCTTGAAGTTTGCTTTAGTTATAAATGAGAAAAAATAACCTTTAAAAGGATGTAGTTAAAGTTTTTTGAACGAATAACAATTTTTTAAATACAGTTTGTTTGGTATGCGATCAGAGGGTTTACTAGGTAGGATGATTGGCTCTCACTCTCTGCTTCAACCAAGCCAAACACTGTGTGCATGAGATTCAGCCTGTGGGAAGCAATGAGAATCTCTGTTACTCCACTCCTTCATTTTATGAGTGAGTCAAGAGAGGCTCAGATGAGCTAAGTTATAAACTCAAGGTCACCAGTAAGTGGATTGACTATGACTTGAACTCAGGTATTCTGAAATTAAGTTTAGAAAGTCTGCATAATTGGTTGGGTGTATGTCTTTCTAAGGAGTAGGTTTGGCTGTTAATCTAAGTTAAAATAACTGGGCCCTATCTTTTTCTGAATTTTATAATAGTTCATTTTTAAAATGGCATCCTTATTTTTGCTAATATTTCTCATTTTTCATTTTTAACTGATTTATATTCAGTATTAAATTTCTCATTAAATTTAAATGCATTACCTTCCAGACCACCTAAGATTTAAAACAAAAAATAAAACAAGTACTCAAGAGTAGAAAATGGGTTTTACAACATGAAATTAACTTTTTTCACAAATTTTACTCCCACTATTTTACCTATTTTCTAGTCACTTGTTTCCTGATGAGGTTAATTTTTTTTTTTTTTTTTTTTTGAGACCGAGTCTCGCTCTGTCACCCAGGCTGGAGTGCAGTGGTGTGATCTCGGCTCACTGCAAGCTCCGTCTCCCGGGTTCATGCCATTCTCCTGCCTCAGCCTCCCAAGTAGCTGGGACTACAGGCGCCGGCCACCACGCCTGGCTAATTTTTTTTTTTTTTTTTGTATTTTTAGTAGAGACAGAGTTTCACCATGTTAGCCAGGATGGTCTCCATCGCCTGACCTCGTGATCTGCCCACCTTGGCCTCCCAAAGTGCTGGATTACAGGCGTGAGCCACCGCGCCCGGCCCTGATGGGGTTAATTAATGATGAGTAATATGTATACATGAATACACTAAAAGTAATTTCAGGGAAATTTTGAAATGGACTTTGTTTTCCACAATTTGTTTTCATTGGGTAAAATCTGTCTAGCCTCTACAAGAAACAAAAGACCTTTGCATCTTTTCAACCAGCCTTTTGAATAAAATGCAGGAACACCTGCTACCTGAAGAGCATTATCTTCTTTTGGAACTCTTCCATCTGTAATAAACTGTTGATGTTTTAATCAAGATTACTGCATGCTTTAGGGAATTTGAATATATTTAATTGAAGGTGTTCAGGACTATCCATTATGCAGTCATGATAGAAAACATAATGTATTCAAGCCAGAAGTGGAGAAAAATAATGTGTTTCAGGAGAGCCCTCCTGATATAGCAACCTAGTTATGCTGAAAGACCACAATTAAATTAGTTCATTGCTTTATCTTGCTTAGTGGTTCAGATAACTTTAGAGTTGGTGGGGTCTTACTCTCAGCTATTCATTTTACAGATGAAGGAAGTAAGAGTAAGAGGTTATATTTCTTGCCTCAGCTCACATGGTATTTTAAGAAAAAAGTCAGGATATGAATTCAGTTTTTCTGAATTCTAACTTAAGGCTCTTCTACATGTCTTCCTAGAAATTTTATCTAACAATTTTGCTATGTAATAGGGAAATAAATATTTTGTTCAAGAGGCTGTGGAAAATGTCAGATAAAAAGAAGCTAGCTTCCTTTGATTACGTAAAAGACTGTGGTCATTCTGGGTCCACTTTTAACTTGAGTCTAGGGAGCAATGAGCCTTGGTTGTAGACAAGGGTCAACTGAATTCATGGTAAGCTCTCTGCATCCATCCAAACCCACCTCCACCCCATCCTCTGCACGCATATTCACCACTGCCATAATCTGAAAAGATTTACAACACAGATTGAGTATTCCTTATCCAAAAATCCAAAATTTGAAATGTTCCAGTGAGCCTTTGCTTTGAGCATCATGTCGACCTTCTAAAAGTTTTGGATTTTAGAGCATTTCAGATTTTGGATTGCGGGGTTAGGGATACTCATCCTGTAATTGCTTATACTAGAGTAGTAATCAGACAGGTTTTCAAAGTTAGGTTTATTTTGATATTGACAAGCTACTGAATATCTAAT
This sequence comes from Homo sapiens, assembly GCF_000001405.40. NCBI lineage: Eukaryota > Metazoa > Chordata > Mammalia > Primates > Hominidae > Homo > Homo sapiens. Next base: position 19,394,909 of record NC_000010.11, read on the forward strand.
GTTATTTTGAGTATACTGTTTGCATTTTATTCATTATTTCAGAAAAAGAGTATAGATAATATAGGTGATTCATAGAATCTAGATAGGGAATTTGACTTCTCCAAGACTATCATGTGGATTTTGGAATGTAAATCAATTAAACCACATTTTTAGTGCTTTTTCAGAATCGTTTCAGTATCTTAGCAGTGTAATCTGCATAGTTTTGTTATATTGTACTAGTGTACTTGGCCAAATAATTGAAGAAAAGTTGATCCTTTCATTTCAAGTTGTGAACCACCAAATATCTGAGACAGATCTCAGTCAATTTAGGAAGTTTATTTTCCCAGAGTTAAGGACGTGTGCCCATGACACAGCCTCCAGAGGTCGTGATGACATGTGCCCAAGGTGGTCCGAGCACAGCTTGGTTTTATACATTTTTAGGTAGACATGAGACATCAATCAACATATGTAAGATAAACATTGGTTTGTTCCAGAAAGGTGGGACAACTTGAAGCAAAGGGGGAACTACTCGAACTGGGGAGAGGGCTTCCAGGTCATACGTAGATAAGAGACAAATGGTTGCATTCCTTTGAGTTTCTGATTAGCCTTTCCAAGGGAGGCAATCAGTTATGCATGTATCTCAGTGAGCAAAGGGATGACTGGATAGAATGGGAGGCAGGTTTTCCCTAAGCAGTTCCCAGCTTGACTTTTCCCTTTAGCTAAGTGATTCTGGGGCCCCAAGATTTATTTTCTTTTCACAAAGGTGTAACCACACAAGATATCAACACACCCAGAGTTTAATTCAGTTAGTTGCGACAACATCACAATGCTCTAGTTATATAAAATAAATATTTCTTTATATCATCTTGGAGAACATGGCAATAATTATTCCAGGCATATTTTTGAATATGTGAGATTTTTCTTTTAAACTTCTTCTGTTCCCATGTTCTTTACCTCTTTCAGTGTCTCTACTATTTCCAAGTAGGAGTCCTACTAAGCTAGTTCCACTGGAATCTCTTCTGTCTTGAAGAAAAGATTTCCGTTAGGATGCTAACACCTTAGTTTAATTTATCCCAGGAGCCCAGGAGTTTTTGCTTTACAGAGAAGCATATAGTCGGCTCTAAAGAATGACATTATCACTATTATTGTTGCCATTCTATTTCTGTTTCTACTCCCACTAGCACTGCTACTCTTGTGTCCAGTCCAAATATTAACTAATTCATTCATTCATTCCTTCGTTTCTTTTTTTTTTTCTTTTTTTTTTTTTTTTGATGGAGTCTCGTTCTGTCACCCTGGCTGAGGTGCAGTGATGCAATCTCAGCTCACTGCAACCTCCACCTCCTGGTTCAAGCGATTCTCCTGCCTCAGCCTCCTGGGTAGCTGGGAACACAGGTGCACGCCACCACGCCTGGCTAATTTTTGTATTTTTAGTAAAGACGGGGGTTTCACCATGTTGCTCAGGCTGGTGTTGAACTCCTGGCCTCGTGATTCTCCTGTCTCGGCCTTCCAAAGAGCTGGATTACATTCATGAGCCACTGTGCTGGCCTCGTTTATTTCTATGTCATGTGCTAAGTCTTCCAACTATATGAATCCATTTAATCTTCAAAATAAGATGGCAAGGAAGATACTTTGTTTTCTAATTTTACAGACCACAAAATGAAGACCCATGTCACATAAAAATTATGTTGAATAATCAGGATTAAAAAACAATTCTAGCTTCTATATTCATACTCTTAACCACTATACTCAACTTCTGCTATTAGAATTTAAAATATTCTAATACTCAGGAGTCAGAGAGGTTATTGTCCCTCAAAGTTTTCCAGTGTCTCTGAAGTCATAAAAATCAGAAATTTCCATCTCTACATATTAATAAATCTATAGATGTATTCCACACATGTTACAGAGGAGAGGTGACTACTTTGTGTTCATCAACTTCAGCAGTTTTGTTTTTCTAACTTAGCTTGCCAGCATCTAGTAACAGTTACTGCATTTATCTAAATTATTCCTTATCGTATTTAATATAACTCAGACATTTTAAAATCATGCTTAATATAGCTGCATTTTATTTTTTAAATTATTTTTAACTGACATAATAATTCCACATATTTGTGGGGTACAATGTGATGTTTTGATACATGTATACATTGTGTAATGATCAAATCAGGGTAATTAGCTCATCTATAACCTCAAATATCTGTCATTTCTTTGTGGTAAGATCAGTGAAAATCCTCTCTGCTAGCTATTTTGAAATACATATTATTTTTAATTATATTCACCTCACTGTGCAAAGAAACACCAGGACTTATTCCTACTAACTGTAACTTCATACTCCACCAATCTCTCCCTATCTTCACCTCCCCTGTCCCCTCCACATTCTCTAGTAACTACTGTTCTACTCCCTGCTTCTATGAGATACATGTTTTTAGGTCCTGCATATGAATGAGATCATGAGGTGTCTTTCTGTACCTGGTATATTTCACTTAACATAATTTCCTCCAGCCTTATCAATGTTATTGCAAATAACAGGATTTCATTTTTTTAATGGATGAGTAATATTCCATTGTGTATATAGACCCCATTTTCTTTATCCATTTATTCATTTTTGGACACTTAAGTTGATTGCATATCTTGGCTATTGTGAATAGTGCTACAATAAACATGAGAGGACAGATATCTCAACCTATTGATTTCATTTCCTTTGAATATATACCCAGTAGTGGATTTGGTAGATTATACGGTAGCTCTGTTTAAATTTTTTTTTGAGGAACCGACATACTGTTTTCATAATGGCTGTACTAATTTATAATCCCACTAACAGTCTGCAAGGGGACAGTGTTACTGGGTGTATAACACTTGTTATACTATTTTTGCTTTTGTTGTCTGTGAATTTGAGGTCTTATCCTAGTTCCACAACGTTGCTAACACTTCTTTATCTTTTGTCTTTTTGATAATAGCCATTCTAACAGGCATGAGGTGATATCCATCATGGTTTTGATTTGTATTTCCCTGATGATTAGTGATGCCGAGCATTTTTTTTTTTCATATATCTCTTGGCCATGTATATGCTCTCATTTAAGACTCATGTATATTAAGGTCTTTTTCCCATTGTCTAATCAGATTATTTGCTTTTTTGACTATTGAATTTTTTGAGTTCCTTATATATTCTGGATATTATCCCTTTGTCAGATGTAGAGTTTGCAAATATTTTATACCATTCTGTAGATTGTCTCTTCATTCTGTTGATTGTTTCCTTTGCTGTGCAGAAGCTTTATAGTTTGGTGCAATCTCATTTGTCTATTTTTGCTTTTGTTGTCTGTGAATTTGAGGTCTTATCCAAAAAAATCCTTGTGCATTCTGATGTCATGAAGCATTTCTTCAATATTTTCTTCTGGTAGTTTTATAGCAATAGCTGCATTTAATGTTGGTTAGGAAAGAATGAATTAGAAACAAATTAATACCAATTATTAAAATATTTTTAAAAATCTGTAATAGTGACTTTGAAAAATATATGTTAAACAAGAAGACTTATGGAGGATGAAGTAACTACCATTATTTTAAAGGCGTGATGAACATAAATGATACTTTTGAGACAGCCAAAGTATTATAATGGGATATTAAAATATCTACCATTACTATTGGTGAGGAAGTCACAGGTACTACTAATACCTGTGATCTGTTGCCTGTATTCACAATTTGAAGAAAATACCAGAACTTTAGTTGAAGTTTGTGAAAATAAAGATGTATTTCCTCCATCCATGTTATAACTCTCTTGAAAATTAATATTCTATTTATAAGGAGGCTGAAGAATTTTTAATTTTATGAGGACATCTATCTTATGTGCTCAATGTTTACATTATTTATTAAGAAATATTAGTGTGCCTTGTCTGCACAGGAATTTCTTATATAAAAAAGCAATTCCAGTTTCTAAAATTTGAGATACATTAAGTCACTGAAGATAGCATTCTATCTGAGACAAGTTTAGAGCAGACTAAGTATAAATAGGTTTAAATGCTGCCACAGCAAAGAGCTATTTCAGCCAACTAGACATCAGGCCTGCAGCCAGGTAGAGTCAGCAACTTCCATACTGGCTGCTCGTGAATTAATATAGTGAGAGATTTGTCACCCAGACTCAAGAGTGTCTCTTCAAATGTCATAAGTAGTCATAGACATTGTCATCTTAGGTATTATAAGATCTGAGAGAAGGAAGAGAATAAAAGCAATATTGTGGCTTGTCTAGTTTAAAGTGTGGCTTCACATGGTTGCTGTCCATTTGCCCACGGAAATTTTGTAGGTTCAACTGCTGTGCACACAACTAGTCTGTGTAGGAATCCTGAGAGCCAGTAAATTTCAATTTAACTTCTGCTTATTTACTGAAAATATTTGAATTTTGATTATTTCAAAGACATTTTTCATGGTGAAACATTTCTTTTTTACTCTTCTCATTTTTCTAGGGCATTGCTTGAAAAATTGTAACAGTTTTCAGCACATGATAGTAACTGTTTGTAGAACTCGTTTAAGTTCTTAATTAATTTTTAATGCATACTCTTCATTTTCTGTGGAGTTTGCAATACATGCTCCAACCAAAGTAGGGTAGAATTGCTTATCAGTGGGCTGATTGTTCTAACTGAATCACATTTCTGACTCGGATGCTGCTATAAGTTTGGCAGTCCGTTTTTACCAATTACAGATTACAGAGTTGGAGTAGAGAGAAAACCCTTGTGATTCACTCTTGTATGCATTGATAAAATAAGCAATTAAAATGGCAATAATCTTAGATATCTTATCTCTGTAAGAAATGAATATACAAAACAATACCATTTGTAATCTTTGAGGGAATTTTAATTAAAATAAATGTTTTAAACTTTTTTTAACAAATAAAGAAATATTTAGACTTACATTTTCTAGATTAGTGTATTTCTTTACATCTTCTAAAGAAGTCAGGAATATTTTCTGATAATCTGTTGTGACAATAAAGCTCCTTGGTAAATTCTGCTACTGTTCTCCCACTGTGGATAGTATTATGTGAAAGATATAAACAAAAAAAACTGAGCAGTTTGGGATATACTATGCCCAACTTAGACTATTTCTAACTAACAATTCCTTTAATTTAGGATTACAACTTTCTTCTGCAAATACTGAGTTTCCAGCTCCTTCCCAATTCTTTTCACCCTTGCTTTCATTCATTGCGATTTAAACATATATTTAGTGAGCTTTTCCTTAATACACTGTCTACTATCATGGAGCTTGTGAGTTTAAAGTGGGCTTAACTGCTGGCAAAAAGCAACGGTATGGCATGGATTCTTTCTATCAGAAGTTGTAAGAGCTTCTCATTAGAAAGTGAATGTCCTTCAATATTTAATTCTCCTCATTCTGAAGTCGTCCTTTTCCTGAAAAGGTAGTTTATAACTTCATGTGCTACATTCTTGGCACTGGAACCTCTCTGAGGTTCATGGAATGAGTTTGAATTCAGTGGCGGTGTGTTCCCATATGATTAAGTCTTTGTCTCCTGGCACTGCTATGCTGCATGATGACTGAGTATGTGAAAAGTTCTGTTCTCCAGCGACAAGGGAGGCTTCATGACGCAGACCTCATCTGCCTTGTTTACTGTCCTGTCTGTAGCAAGTAGCTTAGTGCCTAGCACATAGTAGGTATTAAACACATATTTTTTAATTGAATGAAAGATTGAATGTACAAGCAGTACATAAATGCCAACTCTACAGAATAATTCAATATTATAAGAATTAAAAAGCTACTGAAATATTTATAGACTGAAAGTGTTTAGAAGAAATAAAAAAATTAAATTGGATTTTGAAAGACAAGTAGAATTTGGAAAAATAGAAGAAAGAGGCCAGGTGTGGTAGCTCACGCCTATAATCCCAGCACTTTTGGAGGCCAAGGCAGGCAGATCACTTGAGGTGAGAAGTTTGAGACCAGCCTGGTCAATATGGTGAAACCCTACCTCTAGTAAAAATACAAAAATTAGCCAGGCGTGGTGGCACGTTCCTGTAATCCTAATTACTCGGGAGGCTGAGGCAGGAGAATCGCTTGAACCCAAAAGGTGGAGGTTGCAGTGAGCCAAGATTGTGCCACTGCACTCTAGCCTGGATGACAGAGGGAGACTATGTCTCAGAAATAAAAAAATAAAAAAAGAAGAAGAAGAAAGAAAGGAGAACATTATTTCAAATGAGAGAATACACAAAGGAAGAGAAGCCTGGGATGTATTGAGTGGCCCCTGAATTCACCAATTATTGGATAGTAATTAAGGATATGATATTAATGACAATAAAAAATAAGCATTTATTCTACCCTCTACAGTCTATGTCATACATTTGCATATCTGATACTGTGATTCTATTTGTGTTATTTAACATAGCACTGCTTTCATTGTTTCTATAATTTTCAATTATTTCTGACTTATTAACATATTTAGCTTTAATTTAACTTCGTAATCATTTCTTTTGGGTAACTTCTAACATAATGTATTTAAATTAAATGTTATGTACCAAATTATATATGGAAATTAGCAGTTTGTATAAACACAAATAATAGGAAGTAATCGAATTGAAAACTAATCCAAAACTGCTTTTTGAATGGCAGAAGGAAAACAATTGAAAAATGAAATCCTTAAATATTATTTGAATGACCTTAACTTTTAATTTTTTCTTGATATGAGAAAACAAATTTCAACTTAGTTGCTAGATATTCATTCAGACATTGACATTATTTTCTTTGCAGCAATGGACATAAGGATAGGTAAAATAACTTTTGTAGAATTAACAAAATATAAATTTTTAATTTAATTCTCGTGGCTCAAGTTCACACAAGATCACAGAGAATAAAGCATAAAAAGCATTAACACAACAGTCAGTGGCAGCCAACAGGCACACACTGGCCACCTCTAGTGATACGACTTTAAGATTGATCAAACAATCAAAAGAGAGTTATTTAATCAAAACAATCTATTTGCCAACATTTTGTAGCATTTGTCTTGTGTACTTTTTATGTAATTTTGAAGAACTCTAATACCACTCATGTTGATACTTAAGAAAACATGATACTTACATAAACCCAACAAGAATAATTAAATATTGAAGAATGAGACTTACATGTAACACTGAGCTTTGGAAAGCCAAAAACTACGTGATATCTAAAATTCTGCTCCCTCAAAACCAATTTTTGTCCCCTTGGGGGCAATATTGGCCCCTCTTAACAATGCATGTTATACCCTCTACTTTTTCTCCAAGTCCCACCTGTCAGTCTCTGAGAATGCTCTTTCTTCTGGGAAGGCCATCGTTCTTTATCTTTTGAGAGAGCAAGTTGTCAAACTTAACACAATCACCAAACTTGAGTCCCAGAGATTGAGACCATCATGGGCAACGTAGCAAGACCCCATGATATGGTTTGGCTGTTTCCCCACCCAAATCTCACCTTGAATTGTAATAATCCCCATGTGTCAATAACGGGGCCAGGTGGAGATCATTGAATCACGGGGGTGATTTCCCCTGTACTGTTCTCTTGGTAGTGAGTAACTCTCAGGAGATCCAGTGGTTTTATAAATCGGAGCACAAGCTCTCCTGCCTGCCACCATGTAAAACATGACTTTGCTCCTCACTTACCTTCAGCCATGACTGTGAGGCCTCCCCAGCCATGTGGAACTGTGAGTCAATTAAACTTCTTTCCTTTATAAATTACCCACTCTTGGGTATGTCTTTATTAGCAGCATGAGAACAGACTAATATACCCTATCTCCAAAAAAATGAATAAAATAAAATAGTTATTCCCTTAAAATCTTTCTTAATAAGCCAGGGTAACCACATATTATTAATACACATGTGTCTTCCATGCTCTTATTTGTGCCTTTTTCTTATCCATGCCTTTGTTAAATCCATATCTTTTTCTACATTTGGAATGCTTGTCTCCCTCCATCCTTCCCCCACCAAACACACACATGTAGATTTTGACATAACCAAATCCTGAACATCTTCCTAGATCCAGATTGAATATTTTCCCTTCTGCGTCTTGTCACTTACTACCACTACCTTGAAAGTCAGATGTAGGCACAATTTAGTTTTGTGTCCTCCGTAATAAATGGCTCATTGTAGACTCATATAATGTTAGAAAAAAATAAGACATTTATAGTGCTTAAAGAAGCTTAACTATAAACAAGGAGAAAAATATGTGAACCTATAATAATAATTTACAAAGTGGAAGATTTAGGGGAAATTGGAAGCTGATGATGGAATTATCTATGCAGTCTAAAAAGAATTTATGTTTTCCAAAAAAAAAGTCTAGTTTTGTAGTCCTGATTTAAAACCCTTACATCATATTGTGAATATTATGCCTCCATGAATAAAAAATAGAAGCCATAAAAGTGGACTTGGATGAATTACTATTATTTTTATAAATTAGACCATCTGGTTATGAATTTACTTTATGAATTAGACCATATGTATTAGGGTTTTGCCATTAAAAATTCCATGAATGACTCATTGAGGACTTTGTTATAGGTTACAAATGCTGATACATTTTATTTTCCATTCACAATGTGGCATTTAATATATCCACATATAATCATTGAGCATTGCTTTGCCCTCTTTTATGCTAACGTGTTGGTGACAAGAAAGCAGACTTAGTTTTTCAGACTTATGAGCTGAGGGATCATTATTCTGAGTGCTAGCAATTGAAGTGACTTAGAGACTTAAGGTTAAAAAGAAGGGTAAAATAATATTTTTATGTGAATTCATGGCTTTCTTTTCATCAGCATTCATGAGCCCTAAGGATTTTACAGGTCATATTTTTAATGAGTTATCTTGACTCTTTTTGACTTCACTGGGGGTCATTCAGCAAATAAAATCGTACCAAAGTTAGAGCTGCATATGGCTCCTGAATGATGAAAGAATGGTGAGAATATTCTTTAGTCTTTTTAGCGTTTGTTTCTAAGTTATTTTTCAGAAAATCCCCAAATTATAAGGCAGAACATTGAAATTAATTACTTTGGTGGCTTCATTAGAATCGGAGCTGAATTTTCTTGGTAGTCAAAAGAATATAAAAC